>NC_000004.12:87557744-87709259 GCF_000001405.40 Homo sapiens
ATCATTGACCTCAGTGTAAGCCATTCACTGAGAGTCAGTTTGAAATAGCCATTCCTGAGTTCAAATTATCACATTTACCTTATACTAACTTTATGTTTAGGAAGCACTATTTTAATTTAAATAGTTCTCAATTTTAAATTGGGCATGCAAAGAAAGGAAAGGTAATGCTCTTAAAAATAAACGATTTCTCCTCTACATACATAGTAGCATGGGAAAAAATATTGATAATATTAAATGCTGTTGAGAATGCAGAGATACTTAGATCTCTCATACTGAGATCTCTCATAAATTGGGGCATCTACTCTGGAAAAGAGTTTGGCAGTTTCATATAAAATTAAACATTACTTACCATACATTCTAGCATATGCAATCTTGGGCATTTATCCTAGAGAAATGAAAACTTATGTTCACACAAAAACCTGTACACAAATATTTTCTGCGGCTTTATTTGCAATAACTCTAGGTGGAAACAACCCAAGTGTCCTTCAAAAGGTGGATGGATAAAGAAACTGAGGTAAATCTATACAATGGAATTCTATGCTGAAATATAAAGGGGTGAAGTATTCATATAGCACGTCAGCTTGGATAGATCTTAAGGGTATTATGCTAAGTGAAAAATGCCAGTCTCAATGGGTTACATAAGATATGATTCCACGTATATCACATTCTTGAAATGGTAACATTTTTAAAGATCAGGTAATGGAGACAGATCAGTGGTTGCCAAGGATTAAGGATGAGGATGGAGAGCGGGTGCGGCTATAAAGGGGTATCACAACAGAGCTCCTTTGTGGTGATGGAATCTATACGTGAGATAACATTTCATAGAACTATGCAAAACAATGACTGCATGTGAAAACCAATGGAATTTTAGTAGTCTATAGTCTAGTTAGTAGTATTCCTGGTTTTGATAATGCATTATACTTAAGTAAGATGTTACCTTTGGGGGAAACTGGGGGAAGGGCCCGCAGGACCTTTCTGTACTATTTTTTGCAATTTTTCTTGAGTTTATAATTATTTCAATAAATTAAAAATAATGACTACATTAACACATAAGCCATGACAGATTTCTTTCTTTCTTTACAAGGGAGCAATGCAATAGGAGGGAAAATGCCAAACTGCAAATTAAAAGAGTTCTGCTTTTATATGTCTGTCCCTCTGGGAATATTTCTTCTGAAGAAAGATTTCCCGGGATAAAGTTTGAAAACCACTTCTTAAAAGATTGTGGAAATTTCTTGAGACAATAAAAATCAAATCATGTGAAATCATTTAGTTTTTAATCAAGAAAAGGAGTTGTATTTTAGAAGGTGATCTGATACATTATTTGTTACAATCAAGGTTATACCTTCCAAGGGAAGTGATTACAAATAGCCACATAATTTAGACATGGTATTAGAATTCGTTGGTTTGTTATGAAATCACAGATGCTGATTTAACCCTAGCTAATATACTGTTTGCTGCATTGCAGAGAAATGAAATTGTTAGAGGACTCATCCTAGCAGTCACTTAAAACTGGCAGTTAGCTGGTGGCGTCATGATTTTTTGATCTGAGATCCAGATAGACAAGACACAGGATTTGTTGCCAAAGCAAACTGCATCTCTAGATACTCCAGCACTATTTATTTGCATTCATAAAATTTTGCTCTCATTCAGATATTTTGAACTGCAGAGCAGTTTGTGGTGGTTGTCCATTGCCTTGTGTAGCATGTACACAATGTTTTGTGTAGCATCTGTGGAGGCAAAGCTTTCTTGATAGGCTCTGTACAAATGGGGTTTGGATGGTTCACTGTCTGTGTTCAGCATATCTATCCAGAGCCCCAATTCGTCTCTCCTTCCGGTGACCGATGCCTGATTACTACTGTGGTACCTAGGCAGGGCCTCCGGGTAATTATAGAGTCGGCTCTGTGGTTGTCTTCCAGGAAATGGCAAGTACCAGTTGCCCTAGTGTGTCCCTGCAGACTTCACTCAAGGGACAACAGGAAACAAATGCCATATAAGGGCATCCCACGGCAGCTGCTGCTTTTCTGAGGACAATTGGAAGGTAGACAGGTTCTCTTTTGCCATTTCCATTACCCCTTTCTAGATCAATTTTAGCTCATTATTAAGAAAAATGTGTGGATATATGATGATCCTCAAAAGGACCTACATGAACTTTTCTTTTATCTTTTCTTTCTTCTTTTTCTTTTTCTTTCTCTTTTTTTTTTTTTTTTTTGAGACAGAGTTTTGCTCTTGTCACCCAGGCTGGAGTGCAATGGCACAATCTCGGCTCACTGCAACCTCCACCTCCCCGGTTCAAGTGATTCTCCTGCCTCAGCCTCGTGAGTAGCTGGAATTACAGGCGCCTGCCACTATGCCCGGCTAATTTTTGTATTTTTAGTAGAGATGGGGTTTCACCATGTTGGCCAGGCTAATCTCGAACTCCTGACCTCAGGCGATCTGCCTGCCTCAGCCTAAGTGCTGAGATTAGAGGCATGAGCCACCACGCCTGGCTACATGAAATTTTGCACCAGAGTTTTAGATACTTGCTGTTGACTTTCTTCTATTTACAGTGACTCTGAGAATGTATTTGCAGCTTTTTAAATATTATTAGCTTTCTGCTAAGTCTCCTGGAAAGTCCTTAAAAGAGTTTCTCTGTTTTTATCATTTATTTGAGAGAACAGTAGCTTTATTAGCTTGTAGCCAGAAATAGATTTTAACGTTATAACTCAATTCCCAGAATTAAATTTATCAGTTGTAGAAATTCAGCTCTGAACTGTTAACTTTTGCTGTATGATGTGAAATGAGAGCAGGAGGAGAGGAAGTATGTTACTGGCAGAAGACAAGTCAGACAGGATCTTCTCAGGTATCCTCATAGTCAATTGCTCTTGGCAACTTGTTCCATTTTCCTACCATCAGAGGAAGTTGACAGGATGTCATAACATGAAAGGAGGCCGTTGTAGGAAAAGCTTTGGAATGCCATGGACTATTATGTGGCCATTAAAAATAATGAATTAGAGGGCATCCAAATAATTTGCAGGAATTTCCATAAATTATTGTCGAATGAGGAAAACAAGAGGCCAAAGAGTGTGATGCTGTATGGAGCACTCAGCACTAGTCTCTCTTGCTCGCAGGTTGTACGTTTGGCAGGAGTAGCAGCTAAATCAACCTTGATGAATGGGAACCTAGGTTGGACATATGCATAGCCTCTCTCCCTGCCATGATGGTTACTTCATCCACTTGGCCATCTGATTGGGGTTGCTGATGACAGAGGCTGACTGATGTGAGTTGGCTGAGTCATTTTGTCTATGACTGGCTGTTTGGTGTTCCTTCCATGTTGGCACTCTTTGGTGGGTGTTAACATGTCTCATGAAACTCTTCATTCTTCATGCTTGTTCTTTAATGTCCAACTGCATGTCTATTTCCAACATCTCCTTTTTCTAGATTTTCCAATCTTTTCCTTTTTTAAGCCCCTGTGGTGGGTTGAACAGTGTCCCCCCAAAATTCATGTCCACCTCAAACCTCAGAATGTGACCTTATTTGAAAATAGTGTCTTTGCAGATGCAATTGGTTAAAAATCTTGAGATGAAACATCTTGGAATCGTCCTGAACATATCTTGACTTGTGTTTTTATAAGAAGAGGAGAGCACAAGAGAGCTCCATAGGGAAGAAGGTGATATGACAACAGTGGCAGAAATTGGAATGATGAGTCTGCAAGTCAAGGAACACCAAGAATTGCCAGCAATCACCAGAAGCTAGGAGAGAGGCCCGGGATGCTTTCTTCCTTGGAGCCTCCAGAAAAACCAACCCTGCTGACAACTTGATTTCAGACTTCTGGCCTCCTAAACCATGAGGGAGTAAATTATTTTTATTTTTTTTGTAGAGACAGAGTCTTGCTACATTGCCCAGGCTGATCTTGAACTCCTGGCCTCAAGAGATCCTCCTGCCTTGGCCTCCCAAAGCTCTGGAATTATAGGAGTGAATCACTGTACCCAGCCAAGAGGGAGTAAACTGAAGCTGCTCAATTTGTGGTCATTTCCATGGCAGCTCAGTGAAACTAGTACAGTCCCTGACCAGCAGGCCATGCGTTGGCCACTGTCCATAAGTCCATGTATATTTTAATCTTGGATCACTTCCTTTTTTGTACAAAGTGGATGATCAGGTACCCAGCTTGAAGCTCTAATCATGTGGAAAATTTCTCTTACCACCACCCTTCAAGGCTATCCCTTAAACTTCTATGACAGCAGATGTCTCTGACAATAAATTTAATATATTAAAACTGAAAATGTCTGAATATTAAAAGATATTTTGAAGAAAGTGGAAAAATAAACTGAGACAAAATATTCATGACACCCTGGCAAAGAATTGATAGCAATAATATCTAAAGGACCTAAAGGACATCTGTAAGCTAATAAAGAATGGCCATACCAGTGATTTAAAAATGGACAAAAGCCATGAATAGGAAGCTCACAGAAGAGATAAAACATATGGCCAATAAACCTACAAAGAGATACTCAAGTTCATTAGTGATCAGTGAAATGGATAACCAAAAATCAGGATGACAATGAGATACTATTTTAAACATAGTAAATTGGCAAGTTTAAAAAGTCTAATAACACAAAATATTGGGAAGGTTGTGGATCAGTAGATTAGTTTATAGTTTGCTGGTGGGAGTGTTCAACCACTTTAGCAAGGAATTTGGCATTATCTCTTAAAGCTGGAGACTCATATATCTATGATGAGTAATTCTACACTGGGCATATACTCAAAAGAAATTATTGCAGGTGTACATTAGGAGACATCTACAAGAATGTCCATGGAAGCATTTCTGTTTGAAATAGCAAAAGCTTTGAAAAAAACTTACATGCCTCATGACAGGAGAAGAGATAAATTGTGGTACCTTCATACAATAAAATATCTTACTGGAAAGAAAATGAATATAAACGATGCTAGAAATATAATTTGAATAAAAATTAAGCTCTCAAAAGGTTACATGTACTACAAAACACATTTTAAAAAGTTACAAACAACATGAAGGGTTGTTGAATTTTGTCAAAGGCTTTTTCTGCATCTATTGAGATAATCATGTGGTTTTTGTCTTTGGCTCTGTTTATATGCTGGATTACATTTATTGATTTGCGTATATTGAACCAGCCTTGCATCCCAGGGATGAAGCCCACTTGATCATGGTGGATAAGCTTTTTGATGTGCTGCTGGATTCGGTTTGCCAATATTTTAGGTATTGATGGGACGTATTTCAAAATAATAAGAGCTATCTATGACAAACCCACAGCCAATATCATACTGAATGGGCAAAAACTGGAAGCATTCCCTTTGAAAACTGGCACAAGACAGGGATGCCCTCTCTCACCGCTCCTATTCAACATAGTGTTGGAAGTTCTGGCCAGGGCAATCAGGCAGGAGAAGGAAATAAAGGGTATTCAATTAGGAAAAGAGGAAGTCAAATTGTCCCTGTTTGCAGACGACATGATTGTTTATCTAGAAAACCCCATCGTCTCAGCCCAAAATCTCCTTAAGCTGATAAGCAACTTCAGCAAAGTCTCAGGATACAAAATCAATGTACAAAAATCACAAGCATTCTTATACACCAACAACAGACAAACAGAGAGCCAAATCATGGGTGAACTCCCATTCACAATTGCTTCAAAGAGAATAAAATACCTAGGAATCCAACTTACAAGGGATGTGAAGGACCTCTTCAAGGAGAACTACAAACCACTGCTCAAGGAAATAAAAGAGGACACAAACAAATGGAAGAACATTCCATGCTCATGGGTAGGAAGAATCAATATCGTGAAAATGGCCATACTGCCCAAGGTAATTTACAGATTCAATGCCATCCCCATCAAGCTACCAATGACTTTCTTCACAGAATTGGAAAAAACTACTTTAAAGTTCATATGGAACCAAAAAAGAGCCCGCATCGCCAAGTCAATCCTAAGCCAAAAGAACAAAGCTGGAGGCATCACACTACCTGACTTCAAACTATACTACAAGGCTACAGTAACCAAAACAGCATGGTACTGGTACCAAAACAGAGATATAGATCAATGGAACAGAACAGAGCCCTCAGAAATAATGCCGCATATCTACAACTATCTGATCTTTGACAAACCTGAGAAAAACAAGCAATGGGGAAAGGATTCCCTATTTAATAAATGGTGCTGGGAAAACTGGCTAGCCATATGTAGAAAGCTGAAACTGGATCCCTTCCTTACACCTTATACAAAAATCAATTCAAGATGGATTAAAGATTTAAACGTTAGACCTAAAACCATAAAAACCCTAGAAGAAAACCTAGGCATTACCATTCAGGACATAGGCGTGGGCAAGGACTTCATGTCCAAAACACCAAAAGCAATGGCAACAAAAGCCAAAATTGACAAATGGGATCTAATTAAACTAAAGAGCTTCTGCACAGCAAAAGAAACTACCATCAGAGTGAACAGGCAACCTACAACATGGGAGAAAATTTTCGCAACCTACTCATCTGACAAAGGGCTAATATCCAGAATCTACAATGAACTCAAACAAATTTACAAGAAAAAAACAAACAACCCCATCAAAAAGTGGGCGAAGGACATGAACAGACACTTCTCAAAAGAAGACATTTATGCAGCCAAAAAACACATGAAGAAATGCTCATCATCACTGGCCATCAGAGAAATGCAAATCAAAACCACTATGAGATATCATCTCACACCAGTTAGAATGGCAATCATTAAAAAGTCAGGAAACAACAGGTGCTGGAGAGGATGTGGAGAAATAGGAACACTTTTACACTGTTGGTGGGACTGTAAACTAGTTCAACCATTGTGGAAGTCAGTGTGGCGATTCCTCAGGGATCTAGAACTAGAAATACCATTTGACCCAGCCATCCCATTACTGGGTATATACCCAAAGGACTATAAATCATGCTGCTATAAAGACACATGCACACGTATGTTTATTGCGGCACTATTCACAATAGCAAAGACTTGGAACCAACCCAAATGTCCAACAATGATAGACTGGATTAAGAAAATGTGGCACATATACACCATGGAATACTATGCAGCCATAAAAAATGATGAGTTCATATCCTTTGTAGGGACATGGATGAAATTGGAAACCATCATTCTCAGTAAACTATCGCAAGAACAAAAAACCAAACACCGCATATTCTCACTCATAGGTGGGAATTGAACAATGAGATCACATGGACACAGGAAGGGGAATATCACACTCTGGGGACTGTGGTGGGGTCGGGGGGAGGGGGGAGGGATAGCATTGGGAGATATACCTAATGCTAGATGACACATTAGTGGGTGCAGTGCACCAGCATGGCACATGTATACATATGTAACTAACCTGCACAATGTGCACATGTACCCTAAAACTTAGAGTATAATAAAAAAAAAAAAAAAAGAAAAAAAAAAAAAAAAAAAGTTACAAACAACTAAAACTACCCAATATGCTTTTTAAGAAATATTTATATTATGGTAAAACTGTAGTTCTAAAAAGCAAAGGGAAGACTAATACAAGTTGCAAGGTAGTGGTTACCTCTGGCGGAGGGAGGCAGGGTATGAGATAGGGAAGATAACATTGGAGGATGTTACAAATTATGAATGTTTCCATTGTCATGCAGGGTGGTGTATACACAGGTATTTATTGCATAACAAACAAATTGTTCAACAAACAAATAGGTAAATAAATAAATAAATAAAAAGAAGGCCATGCCTGAACCAAGGATGAGACCATGTCATGAACCAAGTTTTATGATTAATTAAATTTTAGGCATCCAGCATTAGAAACACAACTACTGGATTTTTGATTGGGCAGAGATGTTTCTGGTTGAACCAGCAATGGAAGCAGGAAGAGCCCTAAACCTGGGGCAAGGGGAGAGACAGGATGTGGTGTGAAAGAGAAAGGAAAGAATCCCCAAGAAAGTCACACAAGTGGCCTAAAGGGAAAGGCTTGTGAGAAATCCCCTGTAGGAGCTGGTCCAGGAGCTTGGAAAAGAGAGCTGTCTAGGGGTCTATTTGAAGTTGTTTCCTGTTCTGATCCTTGGTATAAGTAATCTCCAGTATCCAAAGCCCACAGTAAAACTCTACTACATAGTTAAAATACATAACAAATAACAAACTCTCTTCATTCAATCACTCGTTCATTATATGCTTATTTATTGGGTTCCTATGGCATGGGGCACAGCATTTAGCAGCAAACAAAACAGACCAAGTCTTTGTTCTCGTGGAGTTAATACATCATTTTCCAGATGATACTAAATGCAATGGCAAACAATGAAGCTGTGTAACAGATTTAGGGAGAGCCGGGAGTGGAGGTGATTTATATCAGTGGTGCTTGGCCAGAATGAAGAGAAAGCAAGTGCAGGGATGGCTACCCGCATAGTGGAGTGGGGACAGAGGAAGGGGGATAGATAGTGAGTGGGGATTTGGAATTCTGCAGGAGCAGGGATTTGGCATCTAGGAGAACGTAAGTCCTCTTTACAGCAAACTGTGGGAACATTGGAGAAGGCTCTGGATTTCCCACCATACACAGAATTTGGCTTGTATTACTTAGTTTGTAAGTTAAAGGCAAAGTTAATTCTAAAAATTAGAGAACTTGGGGCGTCTGCCATTATACTTCTGTTTTTCTACTTTCTTTTGTATCAGTGGTTCTTAATCTGAAGGAGCAGTAGAGAGGAGCATGGGCATTTGTGCTTTGGAAGAGCTTTCCCAGTAATTCTGATATACCTCCTCTTCCTGCTTCCTCCCTGCCCCACATAACTCATGCCTCCATCGGTAAACATTGCTTATTTACAATAGTCATTCCTGGCTTAATTATCCTAGGGTAGCTCAAATAATCTCAGGCTATAATTTTTCCTTAACAAAGTAATAAATAAAATCATTGACAACATATTTAATTAAATATTTAGATTTTTAATTTAAATTTAAACATTTCAAAAGGTTGATAACATGTTTAAATTAAAAGCAACCTAGCAGAACATTTATTAGAAAACAGTAGAATTGTTAAATGAAATGCCAGGTTCCTCAATGCCCCACCTTAAGAATCATCATGTTAGAGATTGTTTTAAAATCATTTTCTTGATCCTCTTTAACAATGGCTTCATTTTTTATGACAATATTTGTTTCCAGTATGTTGGAAATGAAACTGGACAAAACAGTTAGATGAATGCTGAATTAGCATAAAGGTCTCTTTTTTGATTTCATCTGTGTGTTTAAAGTTAATGTGTTGAATGCTTAGTACTTGCCAGGAAATATTTTAAGCATTTTGTGTGTATTATTTAATGTTCACAATATCTCCATGAATTGTATTCATTAATATCCCCACATACAAACAGGGAAACTAAGGTACAGCTTCCTGAAGCTGGTGAGTACAGTGCTAGACTGTTATCCAGGCAGGCTGTTTCCTGAGCTCATGGCTTTAACTCATTTGCAATACTATCTCCAGTAAATACCAATGCAACTAATAGAACAATGTCTCAATATTATCCACCCCATGCATTTCACTTATCTCACTTGTTAAAATGCTTTGAAAAATTTGCTACCTTGAATTTTCAAAGTCTTCCAAGTTCATGATTATCAGCTCATGAATGCTAGAAGAAAAGATGATTCACTGCTGTCCAAATTAAAATGCAGCAGGTTCTAGCTGAAAACAGTCCAGGGTTAGCTGATGACTAAATCTAAATGTCACATAGAATATCCTATTTTATTTTTAGGAGCTCCAGGAAACAAAGATATCCAGGTACAAGCACATTACAAACTCAGTGGGCTTTGCCAGACAGCATAACTTAAGCATTTTATTTTGAGTAGAAAGAACTCACTTTGTGCCCTACAAACGGTCACGCAGTTTACTTTCATACTGTGTTCCTTCGTCTGCGGTTATTATTTCCTTCTAAAGTACACAGATAGAAACATTTGCTTGCATGAAGAAAACTTTTCCACACTCCTATTTTCTTTCCCCACCACATTCCATAGTAAAATAATATATTTTTTTACATCTCAAGTTACTTTTCTCCTTCTATAACTATTTTAGTATTTCCAGGATTTAAAAAACCACACACACACACCCCCACACACACACCCCAATCAGCATCTCTTCAAAAAAAGAAAGTTTGTGAGCTCTTAATTTCTCTATTTTGAAGTTGTTTTCCTCAGCTCCGATAACAAAGTTATCCTTAGGGCATAAGGAAGTAGGCTGTTTACAATTAGTTAACACCAGGTCATCCTTTTTTTGACTTAAACCAGTTTTGGGGCATCAGGTATTCTTAACATTGATGCTGTGAAACTTCTAATGACCACAGGATTCAGAATTGCGCTACCCAAGGCAATGTATAAGTTATATATATTGTAGATATTGAAACAAAAGTGGGACGAACACACCAACCTTATGATGCAAGGTAACATATTCCATTCTATTAAAACAATGCTAATTGGGACCTGTTAAGATGATTTCACAACTCAGAATGAGTGATGGCCCACCATCTGAGAAGCACGGGCCCTAAGCACAGCATCCGTGGATGGTGGATGGCGGTTTTCAACCCAGGCTGAATATTAGAATTACTTGTGAAACTTCTTAGTAGTACAGATCTCACAGAGGCCCTATTAGTTAAGAATATCCAAGGAGTCATAACGAACATTTCTGAAACTTTTCGCTTGACAGATTTGGGAGTACAGTCGGACCCGGGGAGTGACAAGAACAGCAGGTTCATTTGTCACCACGAAGCGAGATAAATGAAATCTGAGGGTGGATCCAGGTTTTGTGGGGCCTGAAGCTCGTACAATTTTGGAATTCTCTGTAAGAAAAATGATACAAAATTAGGCAAGAAGAGAAATATTTTTTGGTGAATGAGAAAACAAACCACTACAAATTACAAATTTTAAAAAGCGGACAAATCCAACAAATACAAAAAATTCACAAAAATAACATTTTTATTAATTGGTTACCTACACAGCTCGTTAATACTTTCTACTTTACATTTATTAGATTCATGCTCATTTGATTTATATTTGGAAATAATAGAAATAACAGAATAACTATCTGGTCTTTCATTTAGTATGGTTGATGGAAGCTTATTTTTTATTGATGATAGTTGAGAAATTTCTTCCAGCTTCACAACTTGTTATTGGAAATGTCAAGTGAATTTCTGCACTGTTGTCTGAATTCGTTTGTTAGGGCTCCCATTACAAAATACCACAGACTGGGTGACTTATACAACATGAATTTATTTTCACAAATTCTGGAGTCTGGATGTTCATGATCAAGGTGTCGGCAGGTTTGGTTTCTTCTGAGGCCTCTCTCCTTGGCTCACAGAAGGACGTCTTCTTGCTGTGTCTTCACATGGCTGTCCCTCTGTGTGTGTTTGTGTCCTAATCTCCTCTTCTTATAAGGACACCTGTTATGCTCCATCAGGGCCCATCTTAATGACTCCATTTTAACTTAATTAGCTCTTTAAAGATATTTTCTCCAAATACAGACACATTTTAAAGTACTGAGGAGGCGTTTTAACTTTATGAATTTTAGGGGGGACACAAATCAGCTTATAACATTGTTAAACTTGCAAAAACATCTTTCAGATACTTTCATATTAAAATTTTCCTTGTGCAGTGATTGATCCTAAGTACTCTGAACTATTGACATTTTAACTAATTTGATGGCTAGGTCCTCATTATATTAGTTTATTGCCATCTCTTTGTAGACATCAAAGCAGCAAAAAAGGAACACATTTTCCAATAATTTATTTTCCGTTATTATTTAGATTTTCTTTTTTTTCCTTTCTTTTGAGATAAGGTCTCACTCTGTTGACGAGGCTGAAGTGCAGTGGTGTGATCATGCCTCACTGCAGTCTTGACCTCCTGGGCTCCAGTGATCCTCCCACCTCAGCCTCCTGAATAGCTGGAACTATAGGTGTGCACCATCAAGCCGGGCTAATTTTTAGTATGTTTCGTAGAGAGGGAGTTTAGCCACGTTGCTCAGGCTGGTCTTGAACTCCTGGACTCAAGTGATCTGCCTGTCTCAGCATCCCAAATTCTTGGGATTACAGGCATGAGCCACTGTGCCTGGCCCATTATTTAAATTTTCAAACAATCCAAGCATTTACTTGTTACTTCTATTTGAAATTTGTCACATTATTTTAATGAATTACTGCTGTTGGTATAATCTAAAAAAAAATTTACAGTTTGTTTCCTCAACATTAATTTCAATTTATTTCATTTTTAATCTGTATTGGTTTTGTTTTATATGCAATTAATTTTTATTTAAAAATTTTCTGCTACTTAATAAATATTTAAATTATAAAAGAACCTATGATTTATATGAGACCAAATCAGAAGTTTGTAACTTGTCCCTGTTTTTTAAAGAAAACATTCCTAAACTTCTTGCCAAATTGCAGTTGAGCTTTATTATAATAAGTATGCCATTTTTTATGAAAAGAGAAAAAAACTTTTTTAACTGTATTTTTTTAATAACTGTATATCCTAACTTATTGGGTATATAATCCTGACAGGACAGAACTTCAGTTTGGACAAGGTAGAGATGAGAACTGAATCCTCCACTACATTTCACATGGCTGATGTGGGAAGCATTTGTACAGACTAACTTCTGTTTCCATACATTTCAAACTTTGTTTCTCATTGACTATCCACATGCTTCCAGTACCAATTGCCATAAGAGATGTTCATTTCTTGAACTGGCTCTGTCCTTACAACTTCAGGATGCCAGGTGAGTTGACACAGTGGGGGGTAGAAGTATTCCTGGAAGCCGTTTCTACACTGGAACAGTTAGCAATGACTTTACTATACACGGAAACGACTGTGAACCACAGAAGTATAGCCCACTCAACTCAAACTGAAAATGTCCCCATGTCACCTTTCACTTTTGCTATTTTCCAAAAGTGCCTGTGGTTACTCCAGCATCAGCGGACATAGGGGAAGTCAGAGTGGAAAGGGACAGAGGACTGAATAAATTGTGGCTAAAATAGCCTGCTTTTGAAGATCTCATAAAAACATGACTATCTGAATATATTGCTAGGGCCCTCCCAGAGTTCTGGAAGGGGCCGTACAAGTTAGGGCAGGGGGTGCTCTGCATCTTAGCCATTTATGCCTAGTGTTCCATTTTTGGAACGCTAAGCATGTGGGAGTTATTTACATCCTACTGCTCAAGATCATCGCCAGGTCTGATTTTTCACACACACAAAATTGCAACCTCTGGCATAGATGGGTTATGGTTCATTATCTTTATGAAAATCTGACTCTGGCGAAGTGTCAGGAAGCTCTGTTGCCCCCCATACCATAAGTGGTTATTTGAGGTTTCTCCCTAGTACAGTGGTTTCCCAAAGTGTGTCTCCAAATTAGTCCATGATGATTTCAATAATGGAAGAAAAAACAAAATGAAAAAGATAAGGACAGTGTGATATGTATGTATCACATGGGGTTGTCAACTGTTCTCCTTGAGAGGGACTGTCATTTCTGAAGGAGAGAATACCTTTCCTATTAATTTGGTGTCAACATATCCTTCCTTATTTGAAATAGTGACACCAATGGAGAGTAAAGTGTCAAGCTGGCAACCTTATGCTGGTCTCTCCCCCTTCTGCTTTTACTATCATAGATTCCATTCAGCCTGTTAGTCCCTTTGGGCTGCTATAGCAAAGTACATAGACTAGGTGGCTTCTAAGAACAGATATTTCTTTCTTCTTTTTAAATATTTTTAATTTATTTTATTTTTATTTTCTATTTCCATAGGTTTTGGGGGAACAGGTGGTGTTTGGTTACATGAATAAGTTCTTTAGTGGTGATTTCTGAGATTTTGGTACACTGATCACCCAAGCAGTTGTACATTGTACCCAATGTGTAGTCTTGTATCCCTCACCCCCCTCTCACCCTTTCCTCAGAGTCCCTGAAGTCCATTGTATCATTCTTATGCCTTTGCATCCTCATAGCTTAGCTCCCACTTATGAGTGAGAACATACAATGTTTGTTTTTCTATTCCTGAGTTACTTCACTTAGAATAATAGTCACCAATTTCATCCAGGTCACCGCGAATGCCATTATTTCAATTACAGACATTTATTTCTCACAGTTCTGGTGGCTAGAAGTCCAAAATCAGGGTGTCAGCACTGTCGGGTTCTGGCGAGGGCCCTTTTCCTGGGTTCTGGCAAGGGCCGTTTTCTCATGTTGTGGACTTCTAGCTGTATTCTAACGTGGTGGAAGGAGAGGATAAGAGAGATCTCCAGGGTCCCTTTTGTAATCTCATTCACGAAGCCTCCACTCCCATGACCTAATCACTTCCTAAAGGTCCCACCTCCAAATACCATCACATTGGTGGTTAGGATTTCAACATAGGAATTTTGGGGGAACAAACATTCAGCCCCTAACAAGGAAGAGAGAGAAAATGGAAGATTGCGTGGGACAATTTCTGGCCAGATCTATCTAGAAGTGCATTCATCTCTCTTTTTTTTTTTTTTTTTTTTTTTTTTGAGATGGAGTCTTGCTCTGTTGCCCAGGCTGGAGTGCAGTGGCACAATCTCGGCTCACTGCAACCACCGCCTCCCGGGTTAAAGCAATTCTCTGCCTCAGCCTCCAGAGTAGCTGGGATTACAGGTGCCTGCCACCACACCTGGCTAATTTTTTGTCTTTTTAGTAGAGACAGGGTTTCACCATGTTGGCCAGGCTGGTCTTGAACTCCTGACCTCACGATCCACCTACCTCGGCCTCCCAAATTGTTGGGATTACAGGTGTGAGCCACTGCGCCCGGCCTGTGCATTCATCTCTTTTGCCTACATTTCTTTGACCAGAACTCAGCCCCATTGTTCCACCCTAGTTATGTGAATAGCTGAGACATGTGTTCCCAGCAGGAGAATGCATTGGCAAACCACAGCATTACCTCTACCATGTGGACTTTTTCTGGATCCTGATAATGTTTTAAGCAGTAGGAGTAGAATATGATTATTATTTTAGGCCTCTAGTCTATTTCATTACTTTTTACCACATAAAGTGACAACCTCAATACCTAAATTTAGTATTGCTTTGTATTGTTGTGTAACAAATTATCACAGATGTACACCATCACCCAATTATTATCTCATAGTTCTGTACATCAGAAGACTGGCATGGCATGGCTGTATTCTCTGCTTAGAGTCTTACAAGTCAGAATCAAGGCATGCTTTTCTGGAGGATCTGAGGAGGAATTCACATCCAAGCTCATTCAGCTTATTGCAGGATTCTGTTCCTTGCTGTGAACCTGGGACTGAGGTTCTGAATTATTTGGCTGTGGCTCTTTCCATCTTCAAGCCAGCAATGGTGTATCAAACCCTTCTCACCTTTGAATTTCTCTGACTTTGTCTTCTGCTTTTAAGGGCTCAGGTGGTTACCTTGGGCCCACCCAAGTACTCCAGGATAATCTTCCTGTTTTAAGGTTTAACTGAGTCATAACCTTAATTACATCTGAAACGTCTCTTTCACTATGTAAAGTTACATATTCATGGCTTGTAATGCCAGGGGTCAAATGTCACTGGGACCAAAATTCTGCCTACTACACCAGGAGTATCTCACAGAGACAGCCTTCCTTCTATTTTCACTCATTTTCCAACTCTGTCAAAGACCCAAGAGAACTCTAGCCTCTCCCAAATGCAGCCGGAAGTACCACATGTTACCAGTTTTGCTCCTCTGTTTGATTACAGGTGTGTGTGGAAGAGTGGGCTGCTCTGTCTCACCACTGGCTGGGTGGGTGAAGAGGGGATGGGAGCACTGGGGAGGGGTCTGGCACTGTAGGTTGTGGTGGTGAGTGACACTACTGTGGTTGAGTCTTCCTTCTTTTAAAAATCAAATGTATTATACTATGGGGCTGACACACGTTCTTTAATGCCACTCTCGCTCATATTCTAACCCATTGGACCAATAAATTAAATAAAAAAGATCTAAAAAGAAAAGCACTCTTTTGTTAACACTAGATAAAAACTGTTTCAGGAATTCTCTCTCTTTAAAACTCACTTTCTACATACATTCAGATCCCAAGAAGTCTCTAGCAACTTGCAAACCTCACAGTCCAAAGTATTGGATATCATTGGTTTTTCTCCTCTACCCAAATGCAGATATCTGAGAGGGTGCGCTGGGGACACGTATCTGACATATTTTGAGGAGAGCTTATTAACAAAATTACAGTGCTCATAGGCAAGAGTAATGTGTTACATGCTTCTTTGTAACTCTAAAAAGAAACTTATCATCAGAGTGAGCAGGCAACCTACAGAATGGGAGAAAATTTTTGCAATCTATCCATCTGACAAAGGGCTAATATCCAGAATCTACAAGAACTTAAACAAATTTACAAGAAAAAAAACCATCAAAAAGTGGGCAAAGGATATGAATAGACACTTCTCAAAAGAAGACATTTATGCAGCCAACAAACCTGAAAAAATGCTCATCATCACTGGTCATCAGAGAAATGCAAATCAAAACCACAATGAGATACCATCTCACACCAGTTATAATGGTGATCATTAAAAAGTCAGGAAACAACAGATTCTAGAGAGAACGTGGAGAAATAGGAATGCTTTTACACTGTTGGTGGGAGTGTAAATTAGTTCAACTATTGTGGAAGACAGTGTGGCGATTCCTCAAGGATCTAGAACTAGAATTACCATTTGACCCAGCAATCCCATTACTGGGTATATACCCAAAGGATTATAAATCATTCTACTATACAGACACATGCACACATATATTTATTGTGGCATTATTCACAATAAAAAAGACTTGGAACCAACCCAAATTAGACTGGATAAGGAAAATGTGGCACATATACAACATGGAATACTATGCAGCCATCAAAAAGGATGAGTTCATGTTCCTTGCAAGGACAGGGATGAAGCTGGAAACCATCATTCTCAGCAAACTATCACAAGAACAGAAAACCAAACACTGTATGCTCTCACTCATAAGTGGGAGTTGAACAAGGAGAACACATGGACACAGGGAGGGGAACATCACATACCAGGGCTTGTCAGGGGATGGGGGGCTAGGGGAGGGATAGCATTAGGAGAAATACCTAATGTAGGTGACGGGTTGTTGGGTGCAGCAAACCACCATGGCATGTGTATAGCTATGTAACAAACCTGCACATTCTGCACATGTACCCCAGAACTTAAAGTATAGTAATAATAATAATAAAAGACCTTTCCAAGTTGCTATAAACTATAGGGGTGACAAAACTCTACTATTTTCTTAGGGTCTCAACTGGGCTTGAGAATTAAATTGACATAAGAGAGATTAACAGGAGAAAAACATACAAATGTATTTAGTACAAACTTTTTGTGGCATTTGAGCCCTCATAAGTAAATTAAAACTTGAAGAAGCAGAGCCAAACACTTACATACTGAATTGGACAAAGAGTAGTAAATTGCAACAAAGTGGTAAGGTAAAGGGCCTTGGGCTAGGTTAGTCAGTTGGGTAGAGAAGTGGCTGGGAAAATAAGGATTTGCGTAACAGGGTTTGTTTTGTGCCGAGTTCCTTGGCTTCAACTTCCCATCCTTGACCATAAGAATGTTGCTTTCTTTTCTAGTACAGGGAGGACTTTTTTACATGAGAATTTTGTCTCCTGTTTTTAAGAAATAGCATGAAGGTTAGAGTGATCTCGCATCTGCTGTTCTTTTTTTAAGTGCCTTTAACTTCAATATGTCAGAGCAGCATATTTTGGGGTGGCATATTTTTAACACCTTCAGAACATATTAGCAATTTGCTAAATTCTTGCTGAATGAAAGGATGAATGAATGAATAAAACCTGAAGTGTAGTTCAACTGTTGCAACATTATAAGCAAATGAAATTGAAAAAGACAGACCATGTAATGAGGTCAATGTGTGTAAGGAAAGCTATTCATGTCAGAAGAAAGAGCAGGTTCACATCACATATTGCGACTGTGGTTTCAATTGTTATGTCTAAACTCCAGAATGACTTGTTATAAAATTCTGCTTTTTGTGTTCTATGCCTCTAGTTTATGTTTTAAGATGGCATCACACTAACTGCTTCCCATAAAAAGAGTATTCTCATAGAAAAACAGTGTTTTCATAGATAGATAATTATAGTTGTTTGAATTGTCTTTCAAAACTAGACACACCATTTGACTCAAAGTTAGAAATTTATGTTAAGAGGTAAATACGGAAAACTAAATCTAACCTTCTGTTACTTTATGTAGCAGGGAGTCTGCTTCTATGCCCTACTGATCAATTCAGTAGAAAAACGTTTGCTAACATAGTGTTGAGTGGCAATGTAACTAACTACCTGAGTTTTTTGTTTTCCACCAAATGGTTTTAAGATTCTAACAATACAATGAAGATGTTTCTATTTTTAAATTGTACACAGGTATTTTGAAACAATTTGAATTTACATAACAGTTGCCAGAACAGGTAAAAGAATGCTATACAAATAAATAATAAAAACAAATGAATATTAAAATAATAAATAAATAATAATAAAAATAAATAAATAGAAAACTGCTATATCTCTTTCACCCAGATTCCTCACATGTTAACATTTTATTGCATTTGCTTCATCATCTACACTCCATTAATCATCAGTCTCTTTCTGAACCTTTGCAGAGTAAGTTGCAGAAATGACATTCCATGACCCCTGCAAATTCCAGTGTATCACAAAGGTAATGACACTGTCACATAATAGAGCCTATAACTTGTCAAATAAACATGTCAGCATTGATACAACATAACTATCTAATCCGAAGATCCTGTTCAAATCTCACTAAATAGCCCTACAATGTCTCTTTTTCCTTTTTGATTCAGGATTCTATTCAGGAAAAAGTGTTGCATTTAGTTGTCTTCTCTGTTAAGACACCAAGTTGGAATAGTTCCCACTCTTTATTTGCCTTTCATATGCCTGACAGTTTTAAAAAATAGAAGCCTTAGATTCTGTAGGATGATCCTCAGCTTTGGTCCATCTGATGTGTTCTCATGATCAGCCTCAAGACACGCATTGTTGGCAGGGATACCATGGAAATGATGCTGAACCGTTCTCAGTGCATCATGTCAGGAGGCCGGTGATGCTAACCTATCCTATTGCTAGTGCTGGTAACCTGGATCACTTGCTCACGTTGCTCTCTGCCAGAATTCTCCATCTTAAAGTCACCATTTTTCCCTTTATAATTGATCAGTATTTGGGAGATGTATGGGGGTAGTTATTCTGATACTGTACCTCATCTAATCGCCACTCACCAGCTATGGCATCCATTAACAGTTTCTGTCTTGATCAGCCCCCTCTATAGTGGTTGCATAATGGTTGTTCTCTATTTTTCACATTTAATAGCTGACATTCTGTAAGAAAAAACTTTGTCTTCTCCTCCATTTATTTACTTATTCCTTAATTTATTTATATCAGTATAGACTCATGGATTTCTGTTTCATCATGGGTCATACTTCATTAATACCATTATTTATTTTGACTTAAAAATTGTTCCCATCTTGGTCAGTGAGAGCCCTTTCAAGTTGGCTTTTGTACCTTCTGGATGTGTGCCCATCATGCCCATCATTCTTTTTTTTTTTTTTTGAGATGGAGTCTCGCTCTGTCGCCCAGGCTGAAGTGCTGTGGTGCAATCTCGGCTCACTGCAAGCTCCGCCTCCCAGGTTCACGCCATTTTCCTGCCTCAGCCTCCCAAGTAGCTGGGACTGCAGGCGCCCGCCACCACGCCCGGCTAATTTTTTTTTTTTTTTTTTTTTGAGACGGAGTCTCACTCTGTCGCCCAGGCTGGAGTGCAGTGGCACGATCTGGGCTCACTGCAAGCTCCGCCTCCCACTCCTGGCTAATTTTTTTATTTTTAGTAGAGACAGGGTTTCACCATGTTGGCCAGGATGGTCTTGATCTCTTGATCCGCTTGTGATCCACTTGGCCTCCCACAGTGCTGGGATTACAGGCGTGAGCCACCGTGCCCAGCCTCAAGAAACTGCCTTTTTTTTTTTTTTTCCAGACAGAGTCTTGCTCTGTTGCCCAGGCTGGAGTGCAGTTGCGCGATCTCGGCCCACGGCAAGCTCCGCCTCCCGGGTTCATGCCTTTCTCCTGCCTCAGCCTCCCGAATAGCTGGGACTACAGGCACCCGCCACCACGCCCAGCTAATTTTTTTGTATTTTTAGTAGAGACGGGGTTTCACCTTGTTAGCCAGGATGGTCTCGATCTCCTGACTTCGTGATCCGCCCGCCTCGGCCTTCCAAAGTGCTGGGATTACAGGCGTGAGCCACCGCGCCTGGCCACCCGTCATTCTTTAGTATTTATGTTCTTTCTGATATAAAAAGATATTCTAGACTCATCTTGTGTTTTTTATTTTTGCCTTCAGTCCTAGAATTAGCCAATCAATGCCTTTCCTGAGGAAAGAGGTGTTCTCCAAGGAGCTCTAATTTCTTTCAGAGGAGAGTGGTATTTAGCAAGACATGTGTGATTTGGTGTACTCAAATCCATTTGCCTGGGATCTTGACTTTAGTACCTACAAATCAGGCCCTAGGCAAGGCATTTAACCTTCCTGTGCCTCAGTTTCCTCGTTTGTGAAACAGGGATAAAAATAGTTATCACCTTATGTTATTGTTGTGAGACCCAAGTAAGTTCATCCATGTAAAGCTCTTAGTGCTTAGCACATACTAAATTCTCAGTAAATTCTAACTATTATTTTCAGTTGAGGTAGGGTTACTTTCCTCAGTTTATTCAAGGATAAAACAACCCAGAGCCCCGGAAATGTAACATGCTCCTTGGACTTTCTCAGTCTCATTTCCTCAACCAGACATTTAGTAGGTCATAGTCATTTCTAAATTGAGGCTTCTGTCCAGGGTTAGAAGTACAGCTATTGTGTGTAATTGATTGATGATATATTGTTTAGTTACCAAATAAAAAGGGGCAAAGATTTTTTTTTTTTTTTGAGATGGAGCCTTGCTCTGTTGCCCAGGCTGGAGTGCAGTGGCACGATCACTGCTCACTGCAACCTCCACCTCCTGGGTTCAAGTGATGCTCGTGCCTCAGCCTCCCGAGTAGTGGGGATTACAGGCACACGCCACCATGCCCAGCTAACTTTTTTAAATTTTTTTAAAGTAGAGGTGGGGTTTCTCTGTTAGCCAGGCTGGTCTCAAACTCCTGACCTCAAGTGATCTGCCCGCCTCGGCCTCCCAAAGTGCTGGGATTACAGGCTTGAGCCACCACACCTGGCAGGGGGCAAAGATTTTTAAAAATTCTTAAGAAAATTAGAGATCCAGACAGTTTTCTTGTTCATATCAGCAGACATAGCAGAAAGCCTCTGTCCTCAGAAGAGAGCCTATGGATTTGGACAGATGTCTGCACGGGAACTTGATGGAGACTCCAGAGTTCCACTTCCTAATGTGACAAACCCACAAGAGAGGATCTGAATGATAATGGCATCAATAGTGTGCCTAGTGCATGAAAGGAAGAATGGCTCAAAGAAGAAGAGTGCCTGAATGAAGGCCACCTTGAATTTTCTGTACAATGTATCTCAAGTAGTTGAGTGATCTACTGAGTAGGGTCCTTTAGGGTCATTCACTTTTACACTGATTAATGTCTATCAAAATTCTGTTTTAATCTTTCCTTGACAGTGACTAATCAAGAGACCTGGTCATACCTTAAAACTGTTCTTATTTCATTACAGGACAGAGAAGTTTGTTTTCTTATGTTTCATGAGGTATTTTTTTAAATAAAATCTGTAATTCACATTTAAGGTTTTTAAATTATTTAAAAGAATGTTCTTTTCTGCTATTTTTGTGTGTGCCTGTTTAAAACTCTCCTATATAGATTTTATAGTGCAAATCAGAATCCTTTTAGACATGCAATTTTATATTGTGCTGACTAAGCCAAAGTTTGTACAGTCATCTGTATCCTTTTACTGTTTTTATCCTCTGACATGATTTTAGATAATGATGAAAAATAGACCTGCCGAAAACAACACCAACATTTCTGAAGAGTGAATTAATCCCTTCCTGTTTGCAATTTGGGTATCGTTGGTGACATTATCACATATCTTCAAACTTGGAAGATGACTGTGGTATAGCTTCCTGCCTCCTCCAATACAGCAGCCATCAATTTAGACAAAATACAGACATAATTATGTCCCTGAAAAAACAGAAAGGATGGTAAATTTCTCTTACAAGTGAGTGAAGACCCAGGCCTCCCAAATTTAGCCAGCTTTCTCTTGCAGGGACTGATTCTTGCCTCATCTGTTTCTCCCACAGAAAACACATCCTTTGACAAAAGTGAGAGAGTGTTTTGTGGGAAAAAAAAAGAGATCCAAGAATTAGCTTACTTTGTGTGAAATAATGCCTTCCTCGACTGCATGCATCACTGAGATATTGATTTATGTTTTTTACTTTGACAGTTTAAATTTTAGATAGAAATAATTTACTTTCCAGGATATCTTTTTGGGTATAGTACAGTGTCTTTTAAACATTCTCCATGTAAGCATGTCAATTTGCCTGAAGTTCCCCTGTCCCTGGATCAGGTGCCGGCATGCATTTCCTCTCTCTCTGCCAGCCTGCTGCTCTCACCCTCCCACCCCACCACCAGATCAGAGGAGGGCTGTGGTCCCAATAGAGGTGCTCAATTCACTGATCCTTTGGAGGAGGTAACAGAAGCAGTAGTGGCAGGAGATGGGGGTCGAAGGAAGGGGCATGGAGCCAGCAGACTGAAAAATACTACCGTGGGCTTGCATTCAGCAGTGTCTACCTTGTGAACCATATCAGAGCTGGACTCCAGGACACTGATATGTAATTACCTATTCTGTAGGGAAAAGGAAAGACTCAGTATCAGTAATAACAAACATGCCTATTGTTCTTTTCTGGTTACAAAATATTTTTACACATATAATATTTGATTCTCATAATAACTTTGTGAAGTAGGCATAAAAGGCATTCTTATTAGTCATGCCCCTTTGCAAATGAGACAAGCGAGGTTCAGAAAGTTTAAATGGCTTACTAAAATACACAAAGCTAAGAATCATCATCACCATAGCAGCTAACATTGATCTAATCCTTATTATATGCCAGGCACTGTATTATGTGCTTTATATGGATAGTTTTTTTATTTTTATTTTTATTTTTTGAGACGGAGTCTCGCTCTGTCGCCCAGGCTGGAGTGCAGTGGCGCGATCTCGGCTCACTGCAAGCTCCCCCTTCCGGGTTCCCGCCATTCTTCTGCCTCAGCCTCCCGAGTAGCTGGGACTACAGGCGCCCGCCACCACGCCCGGCTAATTTTTTGTATTTTTTAGTAGCTATGGGGTTTCACCGCGTTAGCCAGCATGGTCTCAATCTCCTGACCTTGTGATCTGCCCGCCTCAGCCTTCCAAAGTGCTGGGATTACAGGCGTGAGCCACTGCGCCCGGCCTATATGGATAGTTTTTTAAATTTAAGATAGCAAACTGCAAAACCAAAACCCAAAAATAGGCAAAGCTCTGTATCATTTCTACTATACCAAACAGCCTTCTTCAACAGTAATTCTCAGACACCCAAAAGTAAGTATTAGGAAGTCCAATACAAAATTTAAATTCCCAGAAAGCAACAGATCCTATAACTAATATCTTATAGTTAGGCCTACTTTAAGAAGATTTTTGAGAAAATGATTTATTTAAATTGACTATCCTTTCCAAATTTTTTCATTCAGTTTTCTATTACATTGACACATCTTATGATTTCACAAAAAGTGGGTAGAAAAGTGTAGCAAACAGCTGCCCTCCTATAAGGTTGCCCCCATCCTTTAGCATAAAACAATTCAGGCATTCAACATGAAAAAGTTCAATTATTCAAAGGTGCCTAAAATAATTTTATAGTTGATTATATGAAGGCATATTCTCTCTGCTGAGACTGGGTTATCTACCTAAATACATATTGGAACTGCTCATATAGTTTTCTGATAGATAACTTGGCACATTTTCTTTGGATTTTAGTGTGTTCAAACGTTTATAATATATTATATAAAAAGAGAAAAAACTACACTTCACTAAGCATGAGCTCTAAGTGAGTAATTTAAATCTGAGAGCATTTTGCTTTCAGAGTAAACACATTCGTAGCAAACATGCTCCCTGCTCCCAATCATGAGCCAGTGGCAGACATTGCTAGTTGCTGAAAACATTTGTTCCTTCTAAAGCAGGACTCAAAGCAGCATCAAAGCTTGTACTCTAATCGGCTATTACTGATCATTCACAGTTGGCACCTGTGAAGAAACCTAGATCTGAATAAGGTTGGTGGATTGTAGCAAAGTCAATATCCCTGTTGAGATATTGTACTGTATTATGGTTTTGTGAGATGTTACCACTGGGGGAAACTGGGTAAAGGATACACAGAATCTCTCTCTATTATTTCTTACAACTGCATGTGAATCTACAATTACCTGAAAACAAAAAGTTTAATTAAAAAAAGAAATCTATTTGTCACTTGAGATTTGCAATACATTTCAATGAAAATCTGTTTGATGCATTTATGGAATGACCATTTTAATTAAATGACAATTTCAGAGCAGGTAAACCACTGGGACATTTGGTTCAACCCTTTTATTTCAAAATGAGGAAATAAGGCTAAGGTGGCCGGGCGCAGTGGCTCACGCCTGTAATCCCAGCACTTTGGGAGGCCGAGGCGGGCGGATCATAATGTCAGGAGATCGAGACCATCCTGGCTAACAAGGTGAAACACCGTCTCTACTAAAAATACAAAAATTAGCTGGGCGTGGTGGCGGGCTCCTGTAGTCCCAGCTACTCAGGAGGCTGAGGCTGGAGAATGGCGTGAACCCGGGAGGCGGAGCTTGCAATGAGCCGAGATCGCGCCACTGCACTCCAGCCTGGGCGACAGAGCGAGACTCCGTCTCAAAATAAATAAATAAATAAATAAATAAATAAATAAATAAATAAGGCTGAGGGAAGTTAAATGGCTTTTGTTGTGATGCCTGAATCTATTTACATGCATGATACCTTACATGGAACAGAGAAATAAACTGACATTTATTAGGTGACTGTTTTGTGGCAGACGCTGTGCTAAGGGGACTTACATAAATGAACCTGCTTGACTTCCAAATACTTCTCGTAGGTGTTAGTCTCATTTTTTTTTTTTTTGTCTCTTTTTTTTACTTTGAGACGGAGGCGTGAGCCACCGCGTCCGGCCGGTGTTAGTCTCATTTGTACCTCTGAGGAAGTCGAAGCTTGCTGCGCCATGACATTAACTAATGATAGAGCCTGTATTCAAACTCCCTGTGCTTTCAGAGCAGTTAGCTCTCTCCTACACCACTTTTCAAACTTTTCCACTACAATTCACTCTAAAAAATATTACATTGTGACCCAAATACACATGCAAACTGAAACAAACCCTTAAAAATATCCTTATGATGTGTGATGCTCTAGTCTGTTCTGTCCTATTCTATTCTATTCTATTCTATTCTATTCTATTCTATTCTATTCTATTCTATTCTATTCTATTCTATTCTATTTAAAAATAAACTAAAATTGATTTTATAATTCATTAATGGGTTGTGACCTGTATTTTAAAAAACACAGCGTGCTATTTTCTCTTTACTATGCCACTTCCACTAGTACTTTGGAAGAACTCTTCATGCCATCCAATAGTCCTTTTTTCAGCTTTGCTCAGATCTTTCATACCAAAATTGAAGGGGATGTTGTCTTGGTCAGCCTTTGGTTATTTAAATTCATAATAGCATATGCAAAACATTGTAGCAGATTCTTTCTGAGGGCTTAAGGCATTTTAGTCCCTTCCCCCCTCTTTTCTCTCTCTCTTCCTGACCACATCCCTGTGAGGGGGAAGATAGACCCTTTAAAATTGAACACTGTCATTTTCTGAACTGATGGATGGTTTGTTCTTTGAGGAGACTCCAAGGCCGTGTCTATAAGAGGCAAAAGTAGACAAGTTATCCACTGATTTACATTTGGCTTAAAACCTTCTGTGAGTGGGTGTGCTGGGTGGTAGTAGTGGTAGAGTTGGGCTGTGTGTCATTTACCCTGGCAATACTCCATGGGATAGGGTGAGCTTGGGTGGCCTGCCATTCCTAACTCATTTCCTGGTGGATACCATGATATACCTATTTTACATTTGAGGAAGTTGAAGCTTGCTGCACCGTAACATTAACTAGTGATAGAGTCTGTATTTAGACCTGCATCATCCACGCACAGTCTTCCTTGGGTGATGTATATCATGGCCTTCAATTTCTTAGCTCTCTGTGGGATTATATTGAGAGCCTAGGAATACCAGGGGTCTGTCAGTGGTTATGTTAGCTTTTGACAATTGTTGGCATTGATTTATCCTTCTGGGTGTTAGGAAAAGGGTTGAACACTTCATGTGCATTAACTTGTTGAATCCTCACAGCAGCCATGTGATGAGGATGCTATTATATCACTTTGAATTATCATAAAGGCTAGGCTGGCTTTTGTTTAGTAGGTTATTTGAAGGGTAGAGGAGGGTTGAATTAGAAAATGTGATGACAAAGGAAGTGGTAGAGGTGAGATTTATACACACACACACCCACAACACACACACATCAAAAATAAAATATTGAATGGTTTGATGTCCAAGTAAAGCATGTCTTGCTTTTTTCTTTTTCTGTCCTTGATCATCTTGGCTCTGTCATCATCTGTGTCAGCCAACATTATGATAATTTAAATCCTAGAATGTTCTATGCTGGCTTTTCTTATTTAGAAACGATGATTGAAATTGGCTCTGAGATCTGAGCTTGTTTTGTAATCACTGGCAAACTCAGCTTTCTTGTGGAAGATATTTTAGTCCTTGCTGAGCAGTGTTTCTCAAATATTAGCACACACAAAAGTAATCTAGGAAGCAACTTAAAATGCAGATTCCTGGCCACCAAGATATATTGTGATTTAATAGGTCAGAAGTGAGTCTCTGAAGTCTACCTTTTTAACAAATTTTGATTTAACAGTTGGAACCAAGGTGATTCAGGTATAAATTATCTAGGAGCCACATTATAAAAATGCTTATTCAACATATTCCCAAAACGTATGGGGGAATAACCCATATTTGGGGCCTGCCTTTTGCCTCCTTCTTAATATCTATATTTAAAATGTCTTAGAGGTCAGTCATGGTCACTCACACCTGTAATCCCAGCACTTTTGGGAGGCTGAGAGGGGTGGATCACTTGAGGTCAGGAGTTTGAGACCAACCTGGCCAACATGGAGAAACCCCGTCTCTACTAAAAATACAAAAATTAGCTGGGCGTGGTGGTGCATGCGTGTAATCCCAGCTACTTGGGAGGCTGAGACAAGAGAATCACTTAAGCCCAGGAGTCGGATGTTGCAGTGAGCCGAGATCGCACCACTGTACTCCAGCCTGGGTGACAAAGTGAGACTTCATCTCAAAAAGTAAATAAAATGAAATTGTTTTAGAAAGGACTTCAAATATGGTATTAAAGACAGCAGCAATAATATTTATAATAACCATGGATAAAGAGAGTTCAGCAGTGCTTCAGAACTATCTAAAAGTGTCCTCACAGATACACCCTCCCAAGACTAAAACAGAAAGAGGTAGAATCCCTGAACAGACCAATAACAAGTTCTAAAATTGAGGCAGTAATTAATAGCCTACCAACCAAAAAAAGCCCAGGACCAGATGGATTCACAGCAGAATTCTACCAGAGGTACAAAGAGGAGCTAGTATCATTCCTTCTGAAACTTTTCCAAACACTAGAAAAAGAGAGAATCCTTCCTAACTCATTTTATGAGGCCAGCATCAACCTGATACCAAAACCTGGCAGAGACAAAACAAAAAAAGAAAATTTCAGGCCAAATCCCTGATGAACATTGATGCGAAAATCCTCAATAAAATACTGGCAAACCGAATCCAGCAGCACATCAAAAAGCTTATCCACCATGATCAAGTCAGCTTCATCCCTGGGATGCAAGGCTGGTTCAACATATGAAAATCAATAAATGTAATCCGTTACATAAACAGAACCAATGAAAAAAACCACATGATTATCTCCATAGATGCAGAAAAGGCCTTCGACAAAATTCAACAGCACTTCATGCTAAAAACTCTCAATAAACTAAGTATTGATGGAACGTATCTCAAAATAATAAGAACTATTTATGACAAACCCATAGCCAATATCGTACTGAATGGGCAAAAGCTGGAAGCATTCCCTTTGAAAACCAGAACAAGACAAAGACACCCTCTCTCACTACTCCTATTCAACATTGTATTGGAAGTTCTGGCCAGGGCAATCAGGCAAGAGAAAGAAATAACGGGTATTCAAATAGGAAGAGAGAAAGTCAAATTATCTCTGTTTGCAGACAATATGATCGTATATTTAGAAAACCCCATTGTCTCGCCCCAAAACTCCTTAAGCTGATAAGCAACTTCAGCAAAGTCTCAGGATACAAAATCAATGTGCAAAAATCACAAGCATTCCTATACACCAATAATAGACAAGCAGAGAGCCAAATCATGAGTGAACTCCCATTCACAATTGCTACAAGGAAAATAAAATACCTAGGAATCCAACTTACAAAGGATGTGAAGGACCTCTTCAAGGAGAACTACAAACCACTGCTCAAGGAAATAAGAGAGGACACTAAAAAATGGAAAAAATTCCATGCTTATGGATAGGAAGAATCAATAGTGTGAAAATGGCCATACTGTCCAAAGTAATTTATACATTCAATGCTATTCCCATCAAGCTACCATTGACTTTCTTCACAGAACTAGAGAAAAGAACTTTAAATTCCATATGGAACCAAAAAAGTGGCCATATAGCCATGACAATCCTAAGCAAAAAAAAAAAAAAAAAGCAAAGCTGGAGGCATCACGCTATGCTACCTGACTTCAAACTATACTATACTATACTATACTATACTATACTATACTGTACTGTACTGTACTGTGCTGTGCTGTGCTGCGCTGCGCTGCGCTGCGCTACGCTACACTACACTGCACTGCACTACACTACACTACACTACACTACACTACACTACACTACACTACACTACAAGGCCGCAGTAACCAAAACAGCATTGTACGCACTAACCAAAACAGATATATAGACCAATGGAGTACAACAGAGGCCTCAGAAATAGCACCACACATCTGCAATAATCTGGTCTTTGACAAACCTGACAAAAACAAGCAATGGGGAAAGGATTCCCTATTTAATAAATGATGTTGGGAAAACTGGTTAGCCATATACAGAAAATAGAAACTGGACCCCTTCCTTACACCTTACACAAAAATTAATTCAAGATGGATTAAAGATTTAAATTTTAAACCTAAAACCATAAAAACCCTAGAAGAAAACCTAGGCAATACCATTCAGCACATAGGCATGGGCAAAGACTTCAAGACTAAAACACCAAAAGCAATGGCAACAAAAGCCAAAATAGACAAATGGGATCTAATTAAACTAAAGAGCTTCTGCACAGCAAAAGAAACTATCATCAGAGTGAACATGCAACCTACAGAATGGGAGAAAATTTTTGCAATCTATCCGTCTGACAAAGGGCTAATATCCGGAATCTGCAACGAACTGACACAAGTTTACAAGAAAAAAACAACCCCATCAAAAAGTGGGTGAAGGATATGAACAGACACTTCTCAAAAGAAGACATTTATGTGGCCAACAAACATGAAAAAAAGCTCATCATCACCGGTATTTAGAGAAATGCAAATCAAAACCACAATGAGATACCATCTCACGCCAGTTAGAATGGCGATCATTAAAAAGTCAGGAAACAACAGATACTGGTGAGGATTTGCGGAAATAGAAACACTTTTCCACTGTTAGTGGGAGTGTAAATTAGTTCAACCATTGTGGAAGACTGTGGCGATTCCTCAAGGATCTAGAACTAGAAATAACATTTGACCCAGCAATCTTATTACTGGGTATATAACCAAAGGATTATAAATAATTCTACTTTAAAGACACATGCACACATATGTTTACTGCAGCACTAATTACAATAGCAAAGACTTGGAACCAACCCAAATGCCCATCAATGAAAGACTGGATAAAGAAAATGTGGAACATATACACCATGGAATACTATGCAGCCATAAAAAAGAATGAGTTCATATCCTTTGCAGCGACGTAGATGAAGCTGGAAACCATCATTCTCAGCAAACTAACATAGGAACAGAAAACCAATCACCGCATGTTCTCACTCATAAGTGGGAGTTGAACAATGAGAACACATGAACATAGGAAGGGGAACATCACACACTGGGGCCTGTTGGTGGGTGGGGGGAAAGGAGAGGGAGAGCCCTAGGACAAATACCTAATGCATGTGGGGCCTAAAACCCAGATGACAGGTTGATAGGTGCAGCAAACCACCATGGCACATGTATACCTATGTAACAAACCTGCACATTCAGCACATGTATCCCAGAAATTAAAGTAAAATAAAAAAATAAATAAATAAAATAAAAGCGTCCTCAGCCAGACCTACTCAATCAAGACACTGATCCCTTGCACAAATGTCCCTATTGATATGTAGGCTTTTCTGCCTGTGACAGAGATTATTAGTGCTCATCCATAACTGAGTGCTCCTCCACATTTCCCAGCTTCTCTTGGAGTTGGGTTGGCCTGTGACTGGGTTCTGACCATCAAAATATGGACAAAAGTAAAGAACCACTTCCAGGCCTGATCTCTACATTATCCAGCATAGTCTTTTATGCGATGTGTCTTCTGTTCTCCATCTTTCATGTATGTGATGCCAGGGTGGCCTCGAAGCTGCAGGATGGTGGACCGACAAGATGGAAACAGCCTGGGCCCCAGAGTCACTGACTAAGGAGAGATACCTGGGTCTCTATTGAATTATGACAAGAGCAATAATAAGCCTTTATTATACTATAAGCCACTGAAATTTTGGGGCTTATTTTTCTTGGCTTCATAGTCTATCCTTACAGTGTTACTAACAACTAATTAATAATCATAATAGACATTCTTCCTTTACTATAGCAGAACAGACTAATTGTAACTGAATCCCCCAGTGGGCCGATAACCCATCAGGATGAAGCCTGAGCAATCCTGCCGTTGCCCCTTCAAACCAATAGCCCACACAGGACTATTGCAGTCAAACATTTGCTGAAAAGCGCTAAAAGACGGTCTTGTTTCACATGCAAGGAATAATTACCCACTTTTTCATCTGTGAAAATTTTCTGGCCTTCTTGCATCAAACTGGATCCCAAAACAAACTTTTTTCCTTCATCTCCAGAAGATTATCAACTCCGTCAAATGTCAGAAAGAGAAATGGTGTTCATGAATTAAATGATTCTTATATTCAACAGCTGGTACATATTCAAAAGGAAAATACAAAGTAACATGGCATCTAAAGGATCAAAAATAATAAAAACCTAAGAACTTACTGCTCTCATTCTTAAAATTTCTTAAGAAGGCAGTCATAAAACTTGGCCCATTATTTTTTCTATAACCTTTTAACACTGATTTTATTTTCTAACCTGAGAAAAATTTTTTCTTTCTGTGTGTGTTGGAGTATCTCAATGTTTTCCAGTTGCACATCATGACCTATTAATGGGTCCTAAAACCAATTTAGGGAGTTGAAACTGCTACAATCAGCATTAAAAAGAGAAACATAATATAAATTATCAATGTGTGTCACACAGTAATGGTATTACATTTCATGAAAATTGTTGCTGATGCACACACACAGACACACACACAGAGTTGATTCTTGTTACTAAGAAATTATGGTCCGTAAAGTTGCCTTGAACACTGAATTAACTAATACCGAGGAAATACAGAGTTAGGGTCCTACAAGCCTCTAGTTATGACATTTGTGTAAGTTAGAAACCATCCTTATAAACTTTATAAAATTAATCAGGGAAGAAGAGAGTGGGAAATGAAAATAAGCTAAGCTTGCAGCACATTCAGCATTAACCATGAGGTCATCTTGCTCTCTGATCTATTTTTCATTTGAGTTATTCTTCCAGTCCTGCATACCAATGAAACTACTGATGTCAGCTGGTCTGAAGGACTCCACAGAAGCTGACTCAGTAAAGAATGTGATTTCCACATACTGATGATTTCATCCCCCTTACCCCAACCAATCAATGACCCCAATTTTCCTTCCACAATCTCTTTAAAAATCCTAGCCCAGAACTCCTCAGGGAGATGAATTTCAGGGTCTCATTCCATCTCCACATTCAGCACCCTGTGATCATTGAACTCTTTCTCTGCTGCAGATGCTGCTGTCTCAGTGTAACTTGTCTGTTACTCAGTGTAATTGGTCTGTTGCTGTCACAGGGGGCATGTGAACCTATTGGTCTTATAGTAAATTGGTCAGTATATAATCTTGTTTTATGTCTGTTCTTTTTAAAGACACCTTATTTAATATATATGTGTATATATCATATATATATATATATAGTTGATTCATTAACATTGAACTCACTCACATAGCACTATAACTCATGCCTGAATGAAGCTCATCTAACAAGTCTATGTTTTTCTGTGAGGCACATCACAGCCTTCTTGTGCTTTTAAACACTAGACAGTATTTTAGCACTATGTTTTGGGGCCACTTCAGACAGGGAAATCACCAAAAAAAATGAAAGAAAGAAAGAAAGAAAGAAAGAAAAAAGCCAAAACAAAGAAAGTGGTATTAAATAAACTGCAAAAAGGACACTTGTTTACCATAGGAGAACTAGAAACCAGAAGGCTGAGTGTTACCTTGCTTGACCTTAGTTGGGAACATCCACGTAGGGCTACTCAAATTTTTTGCTGCTCTGCACATGAGAATATTCCTGACTTACCACAAAATCTTTGCAAGTATTTTGGATTACAAGTAAATGTTAACAAGTAGGCAGATGAGCAAATATGGAATCTGTGAATAGTGAGGATTGACTATATGTATATGTATATATACGGCTAGCCTTCCATATCCATGGTTTTAGCATCCGTGGATGCAACCAACTGTGATAGAAAATGTTTGGAATAAAATTTAAAAATACAACAATAACAAAGAATAGAAATTAAAAAATACAGAATAACAACGATTTACATAGCATTTACATTGTATTAGGTGTTATAAGTCATCTAGAGATGATTTAAATTACACTGGAGGATGTACATAGGTTATATGCATATACTATATCATTTTTGCATACAGGACATGAGCATCCACAGATTTTGGTATCTTTGGGTGGTCCTGGAATCAATCCTCAGAGGATAGCGAGGGATAACCCTACACACACACACACACACACACACACACACACATAATATTGGATTGTGACATAAAATGTATTTCTTACTGTGTCCTATGATTTAAAAAAAAGTTGGAAAAGCACTACTGTAATGTTTCCATTTTTATCTTATTTTCCTAAGTCCTTTTCTTTGTCTAAAAATTTTTATGAATTAGTGTATTGTTTTGCATGTAGGGACAATAAACTCTTCCTAGTCTTGGAAAAATTATGAGAAATAATGTTCTAACTGCTTCAGGAAGCTTGATTTTATATTTCTGTTCTGATTGTGTGCCATACTGATGCCAGTTGAAAATCAGTGAAAACCTTTTCAGATTAATTTATTTTCTTTTAATGTCTTTCCTCTCAAAGCTATTGGATACTGAGAGGTTGACTTATCTAAAAGCAGAATGACTGATAAATGAATTCAGTAAAGTTTCAGCTTACAAAATCCACATACAAAAATCAGTAGCATTTCTATACACCAACAATGAATTAGCTAAAAAGGAAATCAAGATGGCAATCCCATTTACAATAGCTACAAAGAAATAAAATACCGAGGAATAAATTTAACCAAGAAGGTGAAAGACCTCTACAGAGAAAACTATAAAACACTGATGAAAGAAATTGCAAAGGACACAAACAGATGGAAAGTCATCCCATATTCATGAATTGGAAGAATTAATATTGTGAAATTACGATACTACCCAAGACAATCTACAGATTCAATGCAATCCCTATCAAAATACCAATAACATTCTTGATTTTTAAAATTTTATTTCTTTAAATTTTATCTTTACTACACTGAACCGGCAAGATTCTTCACAGAAAGAAATAGAAAAAAAAATCCTAAAATTTGTATGGAACCAGAAAAGACCAAAAATAGACAAAGCAATCCTGAGCAAAAGGAACAAAGCTGGAAGCATCATACTACCTGACTTCAAAATATACTACATAGCTATAGTAACCAAAACAACCTGGTATTATTATAAAAAGACACATAGGCCAATGGAACAGAATAGGGAACCTAAAAATAAATCTACATATTTACAGCTAACTGATTTTTGACAAAGTTGCCAAGGACATACATTGGGAAAAGGACACCCTCTTTAATAAATATGCTGGGAAAACTGAATATCTATATGCAGAAAAATGAAACTAGACTACTTTCTCTCACTCCATAAAAAATCAACTCAAAATGAATTAAATACTTAAATGTAAGAACTGAAACTATAAAACTCCTAGAAGAAAACATAGGAGAAATGCTTCAGGACATCATTGGTCTAGGCAAAAACTTTAAGACATCAAAATCACAGCCAACAAAAACAGAAATAGACAAATAAGACTATATTAAACTCAAAAAACTTCTGCACAGCAAAGGAAACAATCAACAGAGTGAAGAGACAACCTGTTGAATGGGAGAAAATACTTGCAAACTGTTCATCTGACAAGGGACTCATATCTAGAATATACAAAGAACTCGAAAGACTCAACAGCAAAAATCCAAACAATTCCATTAAAATGTGGGCAAAGGATCATCTGAACAGACATTTCTCAGAAGACAAACAGATGGCCAACGGATATATGAAAACATGCTCAACATCACTAATCATCAGAGAAATGCAAATCACAAGCACAATAAGATATCATCTTACCCCAGTTAGAACTGCTATTATTAAAAGGTAAAAAATAAGTACTGCTGACAAGGATGTGGAGAAAAGAGAACTCTTATACACAGTGGAAATATATTAGTACAGCCATTATGGAAAACAGTACAAAAGTTTCTCAAAACACTAAAAATAGAACTACCATGTGATCCAGAATCTCACTACTGGGTATTTATCCAAGGGAAAAGAAATCAGTGTATCAAAGGGATACCTGCACCCTCACATTTATTGCAGCACTATTCACAATAGCCAAGATATGGAATCAACCTAAATGCCCATCAATGGATGAATGGATTTAAAAATGTGTTATATGTATGAAATGGAATACTACTTAGCCATAAAAAAGAATGGATTCCTGTCATTTGCAGCAAAATGGATGAAAGTGGAGGTCATTATGTTAAGTGAAATAAGCCAGATGCAGAAAGACAAATATCATATGTTCTCACTCACATGTGGAAACTGAAAAGTTTGATCACATGGAGATAGAGCAGAGAATGATAGTTGCCAGACACTGGGAAGGGTGGGATGTAGGGGATGAAGAGAGATTAGTTAATGAGTTAACATAAAACTACACAGAAGGAAAATGTTCTGTGTATCACCTTACTGATAGCACAGTAGGGTGACTATAGTTAGCAGCAGTATATTACATATATTGAAATAGCCAGAAGACTTTAAATGTTCCCAACACAAAAAGTGACAAATGTTCAAGGCAATGTATATCCTAAATACCCTGATTTGATCATTACACACTGTATGCAAGCATGAAACTGTCACATGTACCCCATAAATGTGTACAAATATTATGTATCAATAAAAGGGCAGAATAATTGATGGTTTTATATAAAGCTCTTCAGGGAATGAAATTATTTCACAAGGTAGCAGCCATGAATAGTGCTGTAATAATTATTCATTTCAAGTTGGAATTTCTTTTCCTGCTCATAAATAATGTTCCTTTTAAGAACAGTCTTGACACGTAAAGGTCTATTTTTTTCTGCAATTCTTTCTTTAATGCATTCAACAATGTTCTTTAAGGATTGAAGTACTTCAATAACACTGGTAGCTCTTTCAATCTGAATAATCATATTGTTAAAGAGATATTGACAAGAATGATTAAAAAATAAATAAGCCTCATTCAATGGATTAGTTAAGAAGTCAACAAAAATTTGGGGAGTCTTTTCTTTAGAATTAAAATATGATTTATTTAAATGCTTCAGATAACCTGGGGATTCTCTCAAATGCCTTTGTTCAAGAGACCCAATGGGTTTCTGAATGCAAGAGAATTGAAGACTGCTGCAGGCCAACAGAATCACAAAAATTTTTTAATCACCCTGAACAGTGTAAATGCTGAAGTAGGGGAATAATTTTATGGCAATGACTTCGATGTCTATAGAAAGAACATTAAGCACAGTTTCAACAGCATTATTTGGAATATAGTCAGACAGTCAATGCCTTCTATTCATGTTTTGCTTCGACTTTGAATAAACACTATCTGCACTTTTTTTTTTTTTAGACGGAGTCTGTCTCTGTCGCCAGGCTGGAGTGCAGTGGTGCGATCTAGGCTCACTGCAACCTCCACCTCCCGGGTTCAAGTGATTCTCCTGCCTCAGCCTCCCGAGTGGCTGGGACCACAGGCAGTGCCACCACGCCCAGCTAATTTTTGTATTTTTAGTAGAGACGGGGTTTCACCAGGTTGGCCAGGATGGTCTTGACCTCTTGACCTTGTGATCTACCCGCTTTGGTCTCCCAAAGTGCCAGGATTACAGGCATGAGCCACCACACCCGGCCACATTATCTGCACTTTTATGCAAATATCCATAATATGAATACAAATATCAAAATTTGTGTCAAAATTTTTATTCATATTATCACCACAAAAAGAAGTACGATTTTTCTTATTAATTCTTAACTTAGTAAATAATAGAGGCTTTGCGAAAATTTGCTTTAAATTTTCAAGTCTCATCTGGAAGAGATGTTACAGTAATCTTAAAAGTAACTCTTTTTATTCCGTGTATACTGCTTGGGAGATGGGTGCACCAAAATCTCACAAATCACCACTAAAGAACTTACTCATGTAACCAAACACCACCTATTCCCCCAAAACCTATGGAAATAAAAAAAAAAAAGTAACCCTTTTTCATATGACAAATATTGCACAAGCAAAGGGAACATGTTTTTCACTTTATAATTACTTGCATTCTTAGCTATATTGTAAAAATTTAAGGCATTAGGTCTTCAATAAGCTCTGTAACAGAAAATGGAACTATTACATTTTAAAAATTATTGCAGTATCTTTCATCCTGGCACTTGATAATTTTTTCTGGAGGTGGAGGAGGGAGGGTTGAATCAGAAAACTTGACAGAGGATGATATTCCAATACCAGCCATTCCAGGAACTGGTTTTATTTATTTTTTTAATTATTAGGGGTACATGATAGTTGAATATATTTATGGGGTACATATGGTGTTTTGATACAGGCATACAATGGGTAATAATCAAATCAGGGTAATTGAGGTATCTATTACCTCAAGCATCTATTATTTCTTTGTATTAAGAATACTCCAATTCTACTCTTTTAGCTATTTTAAAATACACAATATATTTTTGCTACTTATAGTCACCTTATTGTGTTACTAAATACTAGATCTTATTCGTTCTAATTGTATTTGTGTGCCCACTAACCAATCTCCCTTTTATTCCTCCTCTTGACTACCCTTCCCAGCCTCTGGCCATCATTATTCCACTCTCTACCTCTATGAGTGAAAATATGAAATATTTGTCTTTCTGTACCTGGATTATTTCACTTAACATAATGTCTTCTGGAACTGGTTTTATTTTTGCCTCTACTTTCTTTAAAAAGAATTTTTTTTTAGCATTTCAATAATTTTGGGGGAACAGGTGGTTTTTGGTTACATGGATAAGTTCTTTAGTGGTGACTTATAAGATTTTGGTGCACCCATCCCCCGAGCAATGTACAATGTACACAGTGTGTAGCCTTTTATCCCTCACCCCCTCTCAGTCTTCCCACTGAGTCCCCAAAGTTCATTATATCATTCTTATGCCTTTGCATCTTCATAGGTTAGCCCCCACTTATAAGTGAGAACGTACAATATTTGGTTTTCCATTCCTGAGTTACTTCACTTAGAATAATGGTCTCCAATTTCATCCAGATTGCTGTAAATGTCATTATTTCATTCCTTTTTATGGCTGAGTAGTATTCCATGGTGTATATATACCACATTTTCTTTATCCACTCTTTGGTTAATGGGCATTTAGGCTGGCTCCATATTTTTACAATTGTAAATTGCACTGCTATAAACATGCATGTGCAAGTATCTTTTTCATATAGTGACTTCTTTTACTCTGGGTAGATACTCAGTAGTGGGATTGCTGGATCAAATGGTGGTTCTACTTTTAGTTCTTTAAAGAATCTCCATACTGTTTTCCATAGTGGTTGTACTAGTTTACATTCCCACCAGTAGTGTAAAAGCATTCCCTTTTCACCACCATGATAACATCTATTGTATTTTGATTTTTTGAATATGGCCATTCTTACAGGAGTGAGGTGGTATCTCATTGTGGTTTTGATTTGCATTTCCCTGATAATTAGTGATGTTGAGCATTTTTTTAATGTTTATTGGCCATTTGTATATCTTCTTCTTTTGAGAATTGTCTATTCATGTCCTTTGCCCACTTTTTGATGGGGTTATTTGTTTTTTTGTTGGTGATTTGTTTGAGTTCCTTGCAGATTCTGGATATTAGTCCTTCATCAGATGCATAGTTTGTGAAGATTTTATCCCAGTCTGTGGATTGTCTGTTTACTCTGCTGATTATTTCTTCTGCTATGCAGAGGATTTTTAGTTTAATTAATCTATTTATTTGTATTTTGTTGCATTTGTTTTTGAATTCTTGGTCATGAACTCTTTTCCTATGCCAATGTCTAGAAGAGTTTTTCCAGTGTTACCTTCTAGAGTTTTTATGGTTTCAGGTTTTAGATTTAAGGCTTTGATCCATCTTGAGTTGATTTTTTATAAAGTGAGAGATGAGGATAGAGTTTCATTCTTCTACATGTAATTTGCCAACTATCCCAGCATGATTTGTTGAATAGGGTGTCCTTTCCCCTCTTTATGTTTTCATAGGCTTTGTTGAAAATCAGTTGGCTGTAAGTATTTGGCTTTATTTCTGGGTTCTCTATTCTGTTCCATTGGTCTATGTGCCTGTTTTTATGACAGTATCATGCTATTTTGGTGACTATAGCCTTGTAGTATAGTTTGAAGTCAGGCAATGTGATACCTCCAAACTTGTTCTTTTTTCTTAGTCTTGCTTTGGCTATGTGGGCTCTTTTTCTTTCCATATGAATTTTAGGATTGTTTTTTTCTAATTCTATGAAGAACAATGACAGTATTTTGATGGGAATTGCATTGAATCTGTAGACTGTTTTTGGCAGTATGGTCATTTTCACAAAATTGATTCTACTCATCCATGAGCATGGGATGTATTTCCTTTTGTTTGTGTCATCAATGATTTCTTTCAGTAGTGTTTTATAATTTTCCTTACAGAGATCTTTCACATCCTTGGTTGGATATATTCCTAAATATTTTATTTTTTTGCAGCTGTCGTAAAAGGGATTGAGTACTTGATTTGATTCTCAGCTTGTTTGTTGTTGATGTATACCAGTGCTACTGATTTGTGTACATTGGTTTTTGTATCCTGAGACTTTACTGAATTCATTTATTAGATCTAGGAGCTTTTTGGATAAGTCTTTAGGGTTTTCTAAATAAAGGATTATGTCATCGGTGAACAGTGACAGTTTGACTTCCCTCTTTACTGATTTGGATGCTCTTTGTTTCTTTCTCTTGTCTGATTGCTCTGGCTAGGACTTTCAGTACTATGTTGAATAGAAGTGGTAAAAGTGGGCATCCTTGTCTTGTTCCAGTTCTCAGGGGAAATGCTTTCAATTTTTCCCAATTCAGTATAATGTTGGCTGTGGGTGTGTCATAGGTGGCTTTTATTACCTTGAGGTATGTTCCTTCTATGGCAATTTTGCTGAGGGTTTTTATCATAAAACAATGCTGGATTTTGTTAAATCCATTTAATCCATTTTCTGCATCTATTGAAATGATCATATGGTTTTTGTTTTTACTTCAGTTTATGTTATGTATCCCATTTATTGACTTGTGTGTGTTAAATCATCCCTGCATCCCTGGTATGAAACTCACTTGATCATGATGTGTTATCTTTCTGATATGCTGTTGATTGATTTGGTGAGCAAGTGTTTTAAGGATTTTTGCATCTATGTTCATCAGAAATACTTGCCTGTAGTTTTCTTTTTTTTTGTTATGTCGTTTCCTGGTTTAGGCAGTAGGGTGATACTGGCTTCATAGAATGATTTAGGAAGGATTCATTCTTTCTTCATCTTTTGCAGTAGTTTCAGTATTTTTGGTACTAATTCTTCTTTGAATGTCTGACAGAATTCAACTGTGAATCCATCTGGTCATGGACTTTTTTTTCTTGATATTTTTTAAATTACTTTTTAAATCTTGCTACTTGTTATTGATTTGTTCAGAGTTTCTATTTTTTCCAGATTTAATCTAGGAGGGTTGTATATTTCCAAGAATTTATACATCTCTAGATTTTCTAGTTTGTGCACATAAGGTGTTCATAATAGCCTTAAATGATCTTTTATTTCTGTGGTATCAGTTGTGATATCTCTCATTTCATTTCTAATTCAGTTTGTTTGGATCTTCTGTCTTCTTTTCTCAGTTATTCTCATTAATGGTCTATCAATTTTGTTTATCTTTTCCAAGAACCAGCTTTTTGTTTCATTTATCTTTTATATATTTTTGCTGTTGTTGTTTAAATTTCATTTAATTCTGTCCTGATCTTTGTTATTTCTTTTCTTATGCTGGGTTTGATTTGTTTTCTTTCTCTAGTTCTTTGAAGTGTCACCTTAGATTGTCTATTTGTGCTCTTTCAGACTTTTTGATGTAGGCATTTAATGCTATGAACGTTCCTCTTAACACTGCTTTTGCTATATCCCAAAGGTTTTGATAAGTTGTATCATTATTATTGTTTAGCTCAAAGATTTTAAAATTTCCATCTTGATTTCATTGTTGACCCAAAGATCATTCAAGAGCAGATTATTTAATTTCCATGTATTTGTCTATTTTTGAGGATTCTTTTTGGAGTTAATTTCCAGTTTTATTCCACTGTGGTCTAAGAGGATACTTGATATGATTTGGATTTTCTTAAATTTATTGAGACTTATTTTGTGGTCTGTCACATATGCTATCTTGGAGAAGGTTCTAAGTGCTGATGAAAAAAATGTGCATTCTGCAGTTGTTGGGTAGAATGTTCTGTAAATATCTGTTAAGTTCATTTGTTCTAGGATATAGTTTAAGTCCATTGTTTCTTTGTTGACTTTCTGTCTTGATGACCTGCCAACTACATAGGAGACAGTGAACTCACCCACACACCAAAAATATAACTACTACATCCAGTATCTGGGAAAACCAGTGCACAAAGACTCTCTGTAACTAAGGTTCTCATATACAGACTTCATCCTTACAAGCACCAACAATCATGTTAGGCTAAAATAAATATTAAATCTGATCCTTAAGAGGGGAAAAACAACAATAACCCCCTCCCAAAAAAACCACAGTCCAATCAAAAATAAATTCAAGAACAATTTAAGAACTAATCTACCCAAATGAGAAGAAACCAGAAAAGTAATTATGGTGATATGACAAAATAGTGTTGTATAACATCCTCAAAGATCACACTAGCTCCTCAAAAATGAATTCAAACCAAGAAGAAATCTCTGGATTGCCAGATAAAGAACTCAGAAGGTTGATTATTAAGCTACTCAAGGAGATACCAGAGAAAGGTGAAAATCAACTTAAAGAAATAAAAAATACAAGATATGGATAAAAAATTATCCAGAGAAATAGATATCCTAAAGAAAATCAATCACAACTTCTGGAAATGAAAGACACACTTAGAGAAATACAAGATGCAGTGGAAAGTTTCAACAATAGACTAGAACAAGTAGAAAAAAAGAACTTCAGAGCTCAAAGACAAGGCTTTTGAATTAACCTAATCAGACAAAAAAAAAGGATTAAAAAAATGAACAAATCTCCAAAAAATTTCAGATTGTGTTAAATGGTTAAACCTAAGAACAGTTGGTGTTCCTGAGGAAGAAGATAAATCTAAAAGTTTGGAAAACTTATTTGAGAAAATAATTGAAGAAAACGTCCCTGGCCTTGCTAGAGATCTAGACATCCAAATACAAGAAGCTCAAAGAACTCCTGGGAAATTCCGTCACCTAGGCACATAGTCATCGGGTTATCTAAAGCCAAGACGAAGGAAAGAATCTAAAGAGCTGTGAGACAAAATCATCAGGTAACCCATAAAGGAAAATTTATCAGATTAACGGTTAATTTCTCAGCAGAAATCTTATAAGCCAAAAGGGATTGGGTTCCTATCTTTGGCCTCCTTAACCAAAATAATTTTTAATCAAGAATTTTGTATCCAGCAAAACTAAGCTTCATAAATGGAGAGATAAAGTCTTTTTCAGACAAACAAATGCTGAGAGAAATTGCCACCATCAAGCCTGCACTACAAGAAATGCTAAAAGGAGTTCTGAATCTTGAAACAAAACTTCAAAATATACCAAAACAGAACCTCCTTAAAGCATAAATCCAACAAGGCCTATAGAACAATAATACAATGAAAAAAACAAGATGTTTAGGCAACAACTAGCATGATGAATAGAACAGTATCTCACATAGTTTATGTGAGATATGCTGTGGTCTGAATATTTGTGTCCCCCTGCAAAATTCGTATGTGGAAACCTAATCTCTAATGCAATAGTAATTAAGGGATGGTGTCTTTAGAAGGTTATTAGGTCATGCTTTGCTTTCGGTGGGATTAGTTCCCTTTCAAAAGAGCCCTGAATGAAGGCGCTTGATTGCCCCTTCTACCATGTGAAGACTCAGCAAGAAGGGGCCACCTATGAGGAAGGGAGTTCTCACCAGACACTGAATCTGCCAATTCCTTGATCTTGGGCATCCCAGCCCTAGAACTGTAAGAAATAAATTTCTGTTGTTGATAAACCACCCAGTTTATGGTATTTTGTTATATCAGCCTGAACTAAGAAAAGCCATCAAAACTTCTGCTGTGATTAGTTTATCTTCCTTATCTGAATTTATCTTAAAAATTTATTATTTTATCACATTTTTGGTAGTAGTTGATGAAATCATGTATCTCTTATGTTTAGTTAGCATCTGTTGGTTTATATCTAACATTTCATAATTTTTTATACTAAATGAACAATTTGGAAATGCACAAATATTAACAGTTTCCAGAGGATTTTTTCCCTCATTTAATAAATATCCACTGTTCAGAAAATTTATTACAAAATTTACACTTACATTTTGGCGTTTTGATGTTCAAAGATACACAAATTCAAACGAAGAGCAGCCACCACTAGAATTGAAAGGACTGAATTTGATAACCTAACAGTAACAATAATATGTCACTCACAAATCAGAACTCATAGCTAATCATAAACAGGGACTGAAATGTTGAAAGACCAACTAGCAATAAATTGAACTCAGTATCAGATGTAAAAAAGGTGAACTTTCCCTTTGCCTACAAGGTAGATCTGTAGCAAGACACAGTCTTTCCAAATTGTTGGTTAGGGAAGCCTGACATTCAGGAATTGATGGACTTTCAGACGTTTTAATGTGGTCACTAGAGTAAGGCATTTACTGATTGGCTATTATCTAGAGGCATAGACTTGTCATGATTAGCTGAATTCCAGAGCTTGGGCCATTGATTTCCTAACTTTTGGAAACAGTTACTGGTGCAAGGAAGTTGCTGATTGGCTGATTTTCAGAGCATGTGTACAGATCTGTTACTGCTAATTAATGGTGGTTATTTGTTCATGAGTTGGGCCATTAGCCAAAGGACAGTCTTCCTCTTTTGAGTATGAAAAATAAGTATTTTAATTTTCAGTTCCCCCTTTTGGTCTGTCCTCAGCCAAGCCTGCAAGAGGAATCTTAAAGGATTGTCCAGATTTTTATTTGTGGAGGTATGACTTTTTAGCTAGTGTTACCATTTAAGATTCAAGCACCAATAACTGTGGCAGAAAACTAACTACAAACTTTTTGTAGTTATTGGAAAAACAACTGAATACAGGACATTTAAGCCATCCTGGCAAAGCCAATATAGGACTCAGGACAAAATCATTTAGTACAGGACACCTCTTGTATATACAGGACGCCTGGAAATCAGATGCTGGCTATATCTCAGGCCTGCATCTCTGTGATATTCCCAGAACAGATTGTGCTTCAGCTTCTTTGAGTTCTCAGAGGAGAGTGAGTGGCCCAAGCTGAAGCTGGATCATTTGAGAAGTTCAAAGCCAGACTAAACAACTACTGAAAAGTTTGAATCAAAGTAGTGCCATAATTAGATTTGATTTTAGAAAGTTTTTTTTGGTATTTATATGGGAGATTTGGGATAGGCAGAAGCAGAGACTGGTGACAAATGAGTCTATTAGGAGGCTCAACACCCACGATGGGAGTAAGAATGGAAGCCATTAAACTTCTGTTTTTACCAAAGATTAGTAATTTACTTATAATACTGAATAAAATAACGTATCAAAGTTTTGGGGTTTAATTTAAAATATATCACTTTCCAACAATTCTAAGAAAGTTTATGACAAGCACAGGACTTGGACTTGGTGAATATATTATTCTAGGTTCTCTTGAGAAGCAGAACCAATTGGATGCATGTATATACATAGAGAGGATTGTTTAGAGTTCCCACACTTGGTTTTTGAGGCTGGTAAGCCCAAAACTTGCAGAATGAGCAGATAGACTGGAGGCCTAGGGAAGAGCTGATGTTGTGGTTCAAGTTCAAAACTGGCTGTTGAAGAATTCCTCCTTGCCTGAGGGAGATCAGTCTTTTGTTTTATTCAGACCTTCAGCTGGCTGCATGAGACCCATCCATATTATGAAGGGAAGTCTGCTTTACTAAAAATCCCCCAATTTAAATGTTACTCGTATTTCCCAAATTAATATTGTATCTGTCTTCTGAATTGCAGTGTCATTAATCCAATATTGAGAAATTGAATTGAAGATTTTTGCCTTTTAAACTTCCGCCAATCAAAGACACCCAGCAGGGATGTTGTAAATCTGCATATGCAGTGAACTTCTACTCAAATGCCTTCTGCTGGTTTTGTGAACAGGTCTTGCACCAATTTAAAGTAATTTGAGTTGGATGATCCTCTGTGGCTATGCTGCTATTACTATTCTTGCCTTAGTTTTGCTATTTGGCTCAGTGATGTTCATCCAAATTGAAGAAAACAGGAAGGCAAATGGTTCAAAATCATGGTAATAGAATAGCTAACTAGGTGAAGAGTTCAATTTCAAACTCTTTCCTTAGGAACAGAGTAATTGATTCTAATTAAGGGTTTTTAAAGAACTTACTTAGTTACTAAATTGAGGTAGATTTCTGAGTTCTGATCTTAAATTTTAGGTAATTGTTCAGTTTCCACAACAAATTGGGGTTTATGTTTCCTTTTGGCAATTCCTTACTATAAAGCCTTAGTTTTAGCTTCTCAATTTACAGGATTTGAAATGGAGCTGGCAGAAACGGGTTAATTACTTCTTTTTTTCAAAACCAGCTTTACTGAGATATAAATGCTGAGATGCACAAGAAACTGCGCATATTTAAAGTGTACAATTTGATAAGTTTTGTTGTAGGCAAACAGCCATGAAACCATCACCACAATCAAGACAATGAAAAGTCTCCATTCAAGTTTCCTTGTGGTCCTTTATAACTCCTTCCTCCCACTCCTTCCCCCTTGACCTCAGGCATCCACTGATCTATTTTCTGTCACTATAGATTAAAACGTGTGGTAAGTAGAATTTTAAGATAAGCCCCAATGTCCCTCACCCTTATATAATCCCCTTCCCTTTGAGTGGGAGTGGAACCTGTAAATACAATGAGATATCATTCCCATGGTTATGTCTTATTATGTGGCAAAAGTGATTAGGCAGATGTAATTAAGTTTACTAATAAATTGACCTTAAAGGAAAACCTGAGTGAGTCTAACCTAACCTAATGAGCCCTCTTTTTCTTTTGAAAAATTACTTTGGCTATTCTAATTCCCTTGCATTTCCATGAGAATTTTAGAATAACTTTCCAAATTTCTTCATGGATTTTAATTGGCATTGTATTGAATCTATAGATAAACTTTTGGAGACTTGACATCTTAGTATTGAGTTTTTTGACCCATTATCATGTTATAGATCTTGATTTATTTAAATAGTCTTTAACTTCTCTCAGCAATATTTGCAGTTTTTCAATGTTCAAGTCTTCAGATTTATCACTACATATTGTACTGTTGATGAAATTATAAACTGATTGTTTTTAATTTAAATGTTTGATTGTTAATTGCTAGCAAATAGAAATTTTTTTATTATTGATATCATATCCTATAACCTTACTTAACTCACTTATTAGTTCTAGTAACCTTTTTGTATATTCACTTGGATGCTCTACATAGATGATCATATTGTCCGCGAAATAAAGACGATTTAACTTCTTCTTCTTTTCCAATCTGAATGCCTTTTATTTCTTTTCTTTCTTAGAAACTCAAGAACAATATTGAATAGAAATGGTGAGAGCAGATATATTTGCCTTGCTTCTGATACTGGGGGAAAGCATTCAGTAGGTAAGCATTAAGTATGATGTTATTAGGTTGGTGCAAAAGTAAGTGCGGTTTTGCCATTAAAAGTAATTGCCCATTCAGTATGATATTGGCTGAGGGTTTGTCATAAAACTTATTGCGGCACTATTCACAATAGCAAAGACTTGGAACCAAGCCAAATGTCCAACAATGATAGACTGGATTAAGAAAATGTGGCACATATACACCATGGAATACTATGCAGCCATAAAAAATGATGAGTTCATATCCTTTGTAGGGACATGGATGAAGCTGGAAACCATCATTCTCAGCAAACTATCGCAAGGACAAAAAACCAAACACCGCATGTTCTCACTCATAAGTGGGAATTGAACAATGAGAACACATGGACACAGGAAGGGGAACATCACACACCGGGGCCTGTTGTGGGGTGGGGGGAGGGATAGCATTAGAAGATATGCCTAATGTTAAATGACGAGTTAATGGGTGCAGCACACCAACATGGCACATGAATACATATGTACTAACCTTCACGTTGTGCACATGTACCCTAAAACTTAAAGTATAAAAAAAAAAAAAGTAATTGCAAAAAACACAATTACTTTTGCACCAAAAGATGCCTTTTATCAGGTTGAGGAAGTTCCCTTCTATTCTTAGATAGCTGAGAGCTTTTGTTTATTTTTTAAATCAGAACTGAATGTTGGATTTTTGAAATGTTTCTTCCTTGCTTAATGAGATTTTAAAAATCGGAAGTGAACGTTGGATTTTTGAAATGTATTTTATTTGCCTAATGAGTTTTTTTTTTTTTTTTTTTTTTTTTTTTTTTTTTTGAGACGGAGTCTCGCTCTGTCACCCAGGATGGAGTGCAGTGGTGTGATCTCGGCTCACTGCAATCTCCGCCTCCTGGGTTCAAGCAAGTCTCATGCCTCAGCCTCCCAAGTTGCTGGGATTACAGGAATCTGCCACTGCGCCCAGCTAAATTTTTTTTGTATTTGTAGTAGAGACGGGGTTTCATCATGTTGGCCAGGCTGGTCTCGAACTCTTGACCTCAAGTTATTCGCCCACCTCGGCCTCCCAAAGTGCTAGGATTACAGGTGAGCCACTGCGCCCAGCCGCCTAAAGAGGTGTTTAAAATCAGAAGTGAATGTTGGATTTTTGAAATGTTTCTTCTTTGCCTAATGGGATTTTTAAAATCAGAAATGGATGGTCAATTTTTGAAATGTGTTTTATTTGTCTAGTGAGATTTTAAAAATCAGAAGTGAATGTTGGATTTTTGAAATGTTTTTCTTTGCCAATGAGATTATGTGGTTTTCTGTCTTTGTTAATATGGTGAATTAAATTGCTTTTTTTTTTTTTTTTGAGACGGAGTCTCGCTCTGTCGCCCAGGCTGGAGTGCAGTGGTGTGATCTCGGCTCACTGCAAGCCCCGCCTCTCAGGTTCACGCCATTCTCCAGCCTCAGCCTACCGAGTAGCTGGGACTACAGGTGCCTGCCACCACGCCCGGCTAATTTTTTGTGTTTTTAGTAGAGACGGGGTTTCACCGTGTTAGCCAGGATGGTCTCGATCTCCTGACCTCGTGATCCGTCCACCTCGGCCTCCCAAAGTGCTGGGATTACAGGCGTGAGCCACTGCGCCAGCCACGTTGATTAATTTTTAAATGTTAAGTCAGCCTTGCACACCTGGAATAAATTTTACTTGCTCATCATGTATTATCTTTTAAAAACATATTATTGGGTTTGATTCACTAACATTATATTTAAAAATTTTGTATTAACATTTATGATGGATATAGGTCAGTAGTAGTATATGCTTATAACATTTTTGGTTTTGGTATTGGGATAATGTTGGCATCATATAATGAGCTGTGAAGTATTTTCTCCTTCTCAATTTTCTGGAGGAGTTTGTGTAGGATTGGAATGATACCTTCCTTAAATACGTCATAGAATTTGTCAGTGAAACCATTTGGGCAGCAAGAATTCTACCACTGAACAACCAATGCCTCTCAAGTGAAACCATCTGGGCCCAAAGTTTTCTCTCTGGGCAAGTTTTAAACTATGAATTTAATTTCTTTAATAGATACGGGGCAATTGAAGTTATCTATTTTTCCTTGAGTGAGCTTTGTTGGTTTTAAGGAATCTACCCACTTTGTCTAAGTTTTTAATTTATTAACATAAAGATGTTCCTAGTATTTCCTTATTATCCCTTATAGAATATTTATAGAATGTCTATAAAATCTGTAGAATTGTCATTTCTCTCATTCCTGATATTGCTCATTTGTGTCTTCTCCTTTATTTCCCTCATTAGTCTGGAAAGAATCTCCTAAATTTTATTGAACTTCTCAAAGAATCAGCTTTGGTTTCACTGACTGTCTCTATTGTTTTTCTGTTTTCTATTTAATTAATTTCAGTTCTGATCTTTATTATTTCCTTTTCTCTACATACTTTGAACTTAATTTTTCCTTCTTTGGTGGAAAATGAGGTCATTGTTTCAAAACTTCTTCTCTTCATATATGGTTATTTAGTGCTATAATTTCATCCTAAATAACTGCTTTAGTGACATCCCACAGATTTTGATATGCTATGCTTTCATTTTCAGTCATCCCATATATTTTGAATTTCCCTTTTGGTTTCTTCTTTCACCCATTGACTATTTATGAGTGTTCCACTTAGCCTTAAAATACTTGCGGTTTTCCAGAATTCTTTTGTTATTGATTTCTGATTGCCTTCCATTGTGGTCAGTAAACATAATTTGTACGACTTGAATTCTTTTAAATTTATTGAGATTCATTTTGGGGCTCAGAATACGTTCTATCTTGGTAAATGGTGCAGGTACACTTGAAAAGAATGTTTATTCTTCTGTTGTTGGATGAAGTCGTCTGTAAATGTCAATTAGATCAAGTTGGATGATACTTCTGTTTAAAGGTTGTATATCCATTATATTTTTCTTTCAATTATTAATAGATGGCTATTGAAATCTCTAACCATAATTCATGTTAATTCAAATTAAGGAAAAGAAAGGCAGGTTTAGTTCACCAACCTCCACTGATGAATGTGTGTGTGGGTAAGGGTGTCACTCCCATAAGTGACTCGAGCCTTGTTAAAAGTTCTTAGGCCCTTTAATCTGCCCAAGTAAACATGCTATATGAATAAAAACAAAGCATTCACTATGAAAACAGCTTCAAGGCAAATTTCCTTCCCATTCAATTCACTTCCTTTTAACCTTACTTTTTCCCTACATATAAAGCTTTATTTGTATATAAATACCATATATTTTTGTATATATAGTTTCTGGAGATACCACTGTTGCATAGTGATATAGCATTAGTGGTCTTATGTGTTTCACCTTCTTTAATATTGTAACACAAAAATTGGCATATTCCTGAAAATTCTAAACAAGTATATAGAGAAAGACGGTCAAGTTTTTGAATGCATGAATTGAAGAAATAGTTTAGGGATTACCTGCATTATAGTACATCTAGGGTTCAAGAGAATGGTGCACTCATGTTGCAAAACTTGTTAGACATAAAGTCTAGTTTTCTACTTTGCATTCTGCAGCTAACACAGATAATTGAGAGATAATGGACAGCTAAATCTGTTGTCTTTATGCACCTTTGGACATCTTGCTACTTTTGACATTTTCAATGTCTGTTTTTGAAATGTAGTTTGAATACTCAATTGATAGATTTTTAAGCTTTTATGTCACTGCTTATTTCAGTTAAATCAGAGAGATTTCAGGGGAGTTACTGTTTATAGATTGTTAAAGATCCCTCAGGCAACGTCAAGGCTGCTGCATGTGGACAGTTTCTTGAATTATAGCACAGAAACTTTAATACCTACCTCAAGAATGATAGGGGTCTTAAATAGGCAGTCATATTTACTAAAGAAACCTAGAGTTTTCTTAGATTGCCAACCTTGGTAAGACAAGAAATGTCAGGGTGACAGAGTTTAAGTGGCTCTTTTCAGGTATCTTACACTGATTCTCTATATTTAAGATGTGAAACAGCCTCATAGGAGCTGTTTAATTAAGTGAAAGTAAGTCTAGTCCTTTTGGAACCGAACGGTTCAGTGAGCAAATACATATCACCAAGTGAAGGAAGTGGGGAAGTTATTATGTGCTTCATAGACTCGATGACACTTTATAACCCCATATCAGGGATCCTAAACAGTGATTGGTTGAGAAAATTATCAAACTGAGTTTAAATTTCGGCAAGTACAAAATTGTCATGCAAAAGTCCAGGACAGTGGGCCACTTTCAGTCTTCAAAGAGAAAGATAAGAAATTCTGGATTTTCAAAATCCTTTTGAAGCCTTTTAAGGTAAGATGAAATATCCTTTTTACTCAGAACCAACTGATTCATTTAGAAAGAACTTTGAATTTCAAAGATGAAGCCAGTTTGATTTTAAGAAGCGAGTACCCCTTAATGATTAGATTGTATGCTTCCTTTTTGACTTGTCATATTGATAGTATGTATAAAAGATAACGGACAATTACGACCTAAGGAAGAGATAGATTGGGAAGAAGAAAGACCTCGTACTGAAAAATTGGCCAACTGAGGTGGAAATTTGACAATTAACTATCTGGGCACTTTGATTAGTTTTGATAAAAAATGAGATAACTCAGATTTCAAAAATCCACCTTGGGCTTTCAAACAAGGCTTCAATTAGGCTTTGCTTTTTAGTATTTTATTACTTACTATTACTTATTATTTATTGTCCCACATGAAATGAAATTTAGCAATCACTAATGATGCCAAATCTAATTGCTAAATGAAATGAAGCTAAATCTCATTTCATTAGTAACAATAAATGAAATAATCTGATGGAGCTTCACAAATTCTGAAGTCTTTGTTTCATGCTGAGATCACCTGGGCCATTTTTATTGTAGTCTTCGAAGTCATTCACCTGCCTTGGAAACGGTGATAACCATCATGGAATTGTTCAGGAGTGGAGCTGAAAGAGAGATGTAGTGGTCAGATTTCTGAACTGTAGCTCAGAAACTGGACACGCATCACTCTGGCCTTGGCTGCAGGTACCTTTCCAGTATGCTGAGGCTCTTCCAAATCACAGTGCAGACGGGCCTTCTGCAGAGCTATGTAATGATTAGGCTTGGGACTGCAAAGTACAGGATAACTGTGGCTTAGTAAACAGCTGGCCTTCAACATCTGTGCCCCAGAGCTCTGCATGATACTTGTCCTGGTGTCACCTCAGCCTCACTTGAATCTATGGCATTTCAGAAGGAGCTCTAGCTGTTCTTGGCTTTCTGTTGAACAGCTATAAGAATGAGCACTTTTTTCCCCCTCAGTAGCTCTGGAACTGTGTCATCTCTCCTGTGAGAAAACGCCAGTAATTCTCATGACAGTTGATATTCAGTGAAGTTTTATTATATTTTCACTACCACCATTAAATTCAATCAAAGCCATTTTATGACATGCAGCATTATAATCTATACATCTGGTGGGAGTTCATGAAATAGGAGTAAAACTCTCCTTTCTATCATTACTTCAAGAAATCCAACTTGCAATATAAATTAATTTTTTTACTCACACAGATTATAAAATGTCTATTCCAACTTATCAGAAACATGTTTTAGACCATTTCTGAATTTGAATTCTAACAGGGATGAAGAATCATGATTTTAGAAGTCCCATAAAATAATTGCTATCATTTATTCAAAAATTGCAAAGTGCCTGAAGCAATGCTAGATATTGCTGATAGTCATAAATATTTATCAACAACATTCAGAAAACGTTTTTTTCTGTGCTTTGCATTGGAATACAATAATCACCAAGACACTCTCCTGGGCCTCAGGAGCTTACAGGAAATCAGGGCAACACATAAGTAACTAGGCAATTTTAAACAGTGCAATGCGTTACCAGTGAGACGTGCAAACTTCCTTGGTATAAAAAGGAAAGAGATACCAAATACCCTTTGAAGTGGCGTCAGAGAGGGCTTCTCAGAGATAATTCTACCAAACTTCAGGATAATCCTGAGGTGCAGGTGTTGTTATTATTCCAGGTGGAGGGATAATAAACCTACTTAAATTTCTCAAGCTTACACAGCAAGTAGCAGGGGTAACATTTGAACCCAGGTCTCTGAATACAAACCCCGTATTCTTTCCACTAGCGTAGGCTCCCTCATGTTAGTAATTTCTTTCTCTTAAAGTCTGGTATAGCTCAATTCTATAGATTTGGAGTAAGGATGACAAGTGTTTTACCTTTGAAGCACAATTTCAGCAGAATTAGTTAGTACTTGATTAAAGCTATTCAGAAGAGAAATAGATGTTTTTACACCCAAGAATTGCAGAAGAACAAAGTTACAGCTATGCCCTTTGTACCTATTATGGCGTTTTCCTTCATTGGCACAGGCAGAAAAAAATCTAGGAAGCTACATTAGTGCTGAGCCTGGTGATGCCCCCATAACCACACCAGGTATGTTCTGGACCATCGTATGTCTTCTCGTGTTAGATACATGCTTCTTGTCCAGGAAAAGGGCAAATGCTTACACATCAAAATAATATAGTACTATGATTTTCCCTTTACTTTATAAGTAATTTTGTGCTGTTCCTTTTTTATACAGCCATTGATTATTATTATTCCTAAAGAAAATGAAGATAATTACATATTTTTGCATTTGGGCAGTAGCATGGGCCATTCCAGTAAGTATGCCTTTCTTAGAAAACCTCTTCACTTTGTTATCTTTTTTAACCTAACATTAATACAAAATGTAGTGTGTGTGTGTGTGTGTGTGTGTGTGTGTGTGCATGTACATGTGTGTATATATGTGTGTGTGTATATATGTTTCCTTAATTTTTTTTAACAGGCTGAGTCTAAACATTTAGATTTGCACTAAGGGCTTTATGTGATATCTGTGAGGTTTCAACAAAACCACTCCAATTCATCGTCTCATTCCTCTATAGAAACTCATATCTCGTCTGAAGGATTATTATTATTTAAAACATTTATTCAGATTAATTTACACTTAATGCCCAGAAGTCATGGAGACTTTGTCCATCTTTGCTTCATACTCTGTGAATTTCATTCTAATACGAACAAAGTCTGTGCTGTTTAGGAAGTTTCCAAGAAAGAATAATAAGAAAAAGTAGATTTTTTTTCAACATATAGGAGACTAATTTTTCACTCAGAGTTATTATTTATGTGCTCACTGTGGAAAATTTGGAATATATGATGAAAACCAATAAAAAATTGAGAAAATTCAACCATTTATAATTTTACTAGCCAGCCATCATGTTTAACATTTTCATATGCTTTCATAATACCAAACATTTGGTATTTATGTAGTTGAAAATGTTCTCAAGTATTTCAAATGTGCTCTTGCAGAGCACAGAAGTATACTAGCGTAATACTTGATTTTGCCTCTGTGCAGGCTCTGGTCACGCCTCCTGTTCTCTTAAGAGTTTTCATCAGGATTACACTTAGAGCGGGTTTGTGCTAGTGCAAGAGGCTTTTTGTAGAGAAACACCAGAGGTCTATCCCCTCGTCTTTCTACAAGACTCTTTCCTTCTACAGTTGAGATAAGTGGGCTGATCTAACACGTCCATAAAATTGGTAATACCACAGTGAAAAATATCCATGTACCCAGTTTAAATTCTACACAAGCCCTGTAAGAAGCCACTTCTCTTTTCTATCTGATTAGATCATACTTTGGCCTTTGTGTTAAACCTTTCTTCTTCATGGAGGGAAGAATATTTGTGTGTGTGTGTGTGTGTGTGTGTGTGTGCACGCTCACACACATATTCACAAATAAGAACCTTTTCAATAGCCAGTATTTTCTACTTGGCAGGTTCCTCAAAGCAAACCACTGGAGAGACATGTCGAAAAATCCATGAATTTGCATCTCCTAGCAAGATCAAATGTGTCAGTACAGGTATAGGATGTAATATATTTCATTTTATTTCCTATTTCTGAGTTGCTACATTCCATTAACTTCTCCAAGATTGCAATTTGCTTTCCTTCAAGATCATTGATACTTATAATTGATTGAATTGTTTCTTTTTCAGGATGAGTTAAATGCCAGTGGAACCATCAAAGAAAGTGGTGTCCTGGTGCATGAAGGTGATAGAGGAAGGCAAGAGAATACCCAAGATGGTCACAAGGGAGAAGGGAATGGCTCTAAGTGGGCAGAAGTAGGAGGGAAGAGTTTTTCTACATATTCCACATTAGCAAACGAAGAGGGGAATATTGAGGGCTGGAATGGGGACACAGGAAAAGCAGAAACATATGGTCATGATGGAATACATGGGAAAGAAGAAAACATCACAGCAAATGGCATCCAGGGACAAGTAAGCATCATTGACAATGCTGGAGCCACAAACAGAAGCAACACTAATGGAAATACTGATAAGAATACCCAAAATGGGGATGTTGGCGATGCAGGTCACAATGAGGATGTCGCTGTTGTCCAAGAAGATGGACCTCAAGTAGCTGGAAGCAATAACAGTACAGACAATGAGGATGAAATAATTGAGAATTCCTGTAGAAACGAGGGTAATACAAGTGAAATAACACCTCAGATCAACAGCAAGAGAAATGGGACTAAGGAAGCTGAGGTAACACCAGGCACTGGAGAAGATGCTGGCCTGGATAATTCCGATGGGAGTCCTAGTGGGAATGGAGCAGATGAGGATGAAGACGAGGGTTCTGGTGATGATGAAGATGAAGAAGCAGGGAATGGAAAAGACAGTAGTAATAACAGCAAGGGCCAGGAGGGCCAGGACCATGGGAAAGAAGATGATCATGATAGTAGCATAGGTCAAAATTCAGATAGTAAAGAATATTATGACCCTGAAGGCAAAGAAGATCCCCATAATGAAGTTGATGGAGACAAGACCTCCAAGAGTGAGGAGAATTCTGCTGGTATTCCAGAAGACAATGGCAGCCAAAGAATAGAGGACACCCAGAAGCTCAACCATAGAGAAAGCAAACGCGTAGAAAATAGAATCACCAAAGAATCAGAGACACATGCTGTTGGGAAGAGCCAAGATAAGGTTAGTTTGTAAAGCTGATTTCTTTCAATGGCAGTTTAAATTCTTCCCCTCCATCTATTGATGCTAGCACAAAAATAAACCATGACAAGCATCCATGTATTTTTGTATCCATATTACTTGACTATTTAAGGAAATCTAGAGTCCTTACTAGACTTCGAGATAGAACAACTTTAAACATCTTACATTTCTGATAACTTAGTTATAATTCTAGAAAAGTCTTATGTGAAATCATGGATCCCCATGTAATTGTTTACAAAAGTTCCTACTGGGTAGGAATGTGGATGAATTTTTAAGGAATCTAAGCACCAGGATGCTTTCAATTACAGAATAAAGCACATTTTCACAAATAACTGTGAAGTACTAGAAATGTAACTCCTATCCCTATGGCAACTTTTCCCAGTTATTCTTCCTCAGATCAATGCAATTTTGCAGCAAATATTCACTAGTTAATCATTCTTTCCTCCATCCTTCCATAGGGAATAGAAATCAAGGGTCCCAGCAGTGGCAACAGAAATATTACCAAAGAAGTTGGGAAAGGCAACGAAGGTAAAGAGGATAAAGGACAACATGGAATGATCTTGGGCAAAGGCAATGTCAAGACACAAGGAGAGGTTGTCAACATAGAAGGACCTGGCCAAAAATCAGAACCAGGAAATAAAGTTGGACACAGCAATACAGGTAGTGACAGCAATAGTGATGGATATGACAGTTATGATTTTGATGATAAGTCCATGCAAGGAGATGATCCCAATAGCAGTGATGAATCTAATGGCAATGATGATGCTAATTCAGAAAGTGACAATAACAGCAGTAGCCGAGGAGATGCTTCTTATAACTCTGATGAATCAAAAGATAATGGCAATGGCAGTGACTCAAAAGGAGCAGAAGATGATGACAGTGATAGCACATCAGACACTAATAATAGTGACAGTAATGGCAATGGTAACAATGGGAATGATGACAATGACAAATCAGACAGTGGCAAAGGTAAATCAGATAGCAGTGACAGTGATAGTAGTGATAGCAGCAATAGCAGTGATAGTAGTGACAGCAGTGACAGTGACAGCAGTGATAGCAACAGTAGCAGTGATAGTGACAGCAGTGACAGTGACAGCAGTGATAGCAGTGACAGTGATAGTAGTGATAGCAGCAATAGCAGTGACAGTAGTGACAGCAGTGATAGCAGTGACAGTAGTGATAGTAGTGACAGCAGTGACAGCAAGTCAGACAGCAGCAAATCAGAGAGCGACAGCAGTGATAGTGACAGTAAGTCAGACAGCAGTGACAGCAACAGCAGTGACAGTAGTGACAACAGTGATAGCAGCGACAGCAGCAATAGCAGTAACAGCAGTGATAGTAGTGACAGCAGTGATAGCAGTGACAGCAGCAGTAGCAGTGACAGCAGCAACAGCAGTGATAGTAGTGACAGTAGTGACAGCAGCAATAGCAGTGAGAGCAGTGATAGTAGTGACAGCAGTGATAGTGACAGCAGTGATAGTAGTGACAGCAGTAATAGTAACAGCAGCGATAGTGACAGCAGCAACAGCAGCGATAGCAGTGACAGCAGCAACAGCAGTGACAGCAGTGATAGCAGTGACAGCAGCAACAGCAGTGACAGTAGCGATAGCAGTGACAGCAGCAACAGCAGTGACAGCAGTGATAGCAGTGACAGCAGTGATAGTAGTGACAGCAGCAACAGCAGTGATAGCAACGACAGCAGCAATAGCAGTGACAGCAGTGATAGCAGCAACAGCAGTGATAGCAGCAACAGCAGTGATAGCAGTGATAGCAGTGACAGCAGTGATAGCGACAGCAGCAATAGCAGTGACAGCAGTAATAGTAGTGACAGCAGCGATAGCAGCAACAGCAGTGATAGCAGCGACAGCAGCGATAGCAGTGACGGCAGTGATAGCGACAGCAGCAATAGAAGTGACAGTAGTAATAGTAGTGACAGCAGCGATAGCAGTGACAGCAGCAACAGCAGTGACAGCAGTGATAGCAGTGACAGCAACGAAAGCAGCAATAGCAGTGACAGCAGTGATAGCAGCAACAGCAGTGATAGTGACAGCAGTGATAGCAGCAACAGCAGTGACAGCAGTGATAGCAGCAACAGCAGTGATAGCAGTGAAAGCAGTAATAGTAGTGACAACAGCAATAGCAGTGACAGCAGCAACAGCAGTGACAGCAGTGATAGCAGTGACAGCAGTAATAGTAGTGACAGCAGCAATAGCAGTGACAGCAGCAACAGCAGTGACAGCAGTGATAGCAATAGCAGCGACAGCAGTGACAGCAGCAACAGCAGCGATAGCAGTGACAGCAGTGATAGCAGTGACAGCAGTGACAGCAGTGATAGCAGCAACAGCAGTGATAGCAGTGACAGCAGTGACAGCAGTGATAGCAGTAATAGTAGTGACAGCAGCAATAGCAGTGACAGCAGCAACAGCAGTGACAGCAGCGATAGCAGTGACAGCAGCGATAGCAGTGACAGCAGCGATAGCAGTGACAGCAGTGACAGCAGCAATAGCAGTGACAGCAGTGACAGCAGCGACAGCAGTGATAGCAGTGACAGCAGTGACAGCAGCGACAGCAGTGATAGCAGTGAAAGCAGTGATAGCAGTGACAGCAGCAATAGCAGTGACAGCAGCGATAGCAGCGACAGCAGCGACAGCAGCGATAGCAGTGACAGCAGCGATAGCAGTGACAGCAGTGACAGCAGCAATAGCAGTGACAGCAGTGACAGCAGCGACAGCAGTGATAGCAGTGACAGCAGCAACAGCAGTGACAGCAGTGACAGCAGTGAAAGCAGCGACAGCAGTGACAGCAGCGACAGCAGTGACAGCAGCGATAGCAGCGACAGCAGCGACAGCAGCGATAGCAGTGACAGCAGCAATAGCAGTGATAGCAGCGACAGCAGTGATAGCAGTGACAGCAGCGACAGCAGCGATAGCAGCGACAGCAGCGATAGTAGTGATAGCAGTGACAGCAGTGACAGCAGCGACAGCAGTGACAGCAGCGACAGCAGTGACAGCAGCGACAGCAGTGACAGCAATGAAAGCAGCGACAGCAGTGACAGCAGCGATAGCAGTGACAGCAGCAACAGCAGTGACAGCAGCGACAGCAGTGATAGCAGTGACAGCACATCTGACAGCAATGATGAGAGTGACAGCCAGAGCAAGTCTGGTAACGGTAACAACAATGGAAGTGACAGTGACAGTGACAGTGAAGGCAGTGACAGTAACCACTCAACCAGTGATGATTAGAACAAAAGAAAAACCCGTAAGATTCCTTTTGTGAAAAGTTTGGTAATGGGATAGGAAAAAAAGATTTCCAAGAAAGTAAAGAAAGGGGAGAAATAAACATAAGACGTATGTAAACAAAAACAACTGGGGGAATCAAATCAAACAGTTGGATTCAGAACCAAGACCTAACTCCTGCAGAGACAGACTCTGAATGCATGACCTTTGGTACATGCCTGTTAATATTCATGTTCTGAAAATATTTTGTTAAAAGTGTAAATCTAAACATAAAAGAACAATTAAAATATTCTTTAATACTTCACACAGAAACCTCAAGTAATCACTACATGATAACTTCAATTTAAGTGCCATGTGCTGCAGAGAATGTAGCAGGCAGACACATCTTAAAAGCAACCTGTGGCATTGCCTTAAGTCTCCATAGTTATATATTCTGGAGAGGTGGTCTGCTTACCGCTGAGTAAAAGATGCTGTACTGTGATAGCCAACTTGGCTTTGGATTCAGTTGCTTGTTCTATGGAAGAAATACATTTATTTGTTACATGAAAAAAAATTGCAGCTACTATTCAACCTACCTGGGCTATGGGAATAATCTTTCTAATGATCAAATAGAGTAGTTATAAGTCACAGAAATTCTAAAGAGTGCTAGTCAGAAAGAGCTCAGAGACAGGTTGATGTATAAAATCTGATCTGTAATCTGATGTATAGCATCTGATGTTAAAATCTGATGTAAAAAAATACATCTCAACAAACCACTGGAAATTTAGTACAAAGTCCCTAAAACTATTGACAAAGCTGATGCAGTGCTTAGAACAGTGTCTTACTCCCAGGAGCCACTCTCCAAATGTTAACCAGTAAATGACACATGAATGACTCTGGAGGAGCATCACTTAGAAGCGCGGTGGCTCACGCCTGTATCCCAACACTTTGGCAGGTCGAGGTGGGCGGATCACGAGGTCAAGAGATCGAGACCATCTTGGCCAACATGGTGAAACCCCGTCTCTACTAAAAATACAAATATCAGCTGGGAGTGGTGGCGCGCGTCTCTAGTCCCAGCTACTTGGGAGGCTGAGGCAGGAGAATCGCTTGAACCCAGGAGCGGAAGTTGCAGTAAGCTGAGATCGTGCCACTGCACTCTAGCCTAGCGACAGAACGAGAGTCCGTCTCAAAAAAACAAACAAACAAAAAAACTGTGTTATGTGGTATCAATTATTTATCTTTACATCAGTCTCACCAAGTCATTCTTAGTTCACATTTCCCTTGAAAACCTCAACACGCCAAAACTTCTAAACCAGACCCTGAGTCTCCCTTCCCACTATTAATCTCTTTAATAAAGCTAAAGCTGCTGGTGGGTAATGGTTTGGAAAACTTCTCTTTCTTATTTGAGAGTCATATATGCAGTTACGATCTGAGTATATATCACTCAGCTTTGGCATGAATGAAGGTAATTCTTAGCCCCAAGATGAAGCCCAATTTCTAGAAAATGACAATCTTAAAGGTGTATAGAGAATAGAGATTGATATTTAATAGTGTGGAGATATAGTTTATCATCTAAATTAGGGCACTTTGGAGAATGAAAGGGGTGTTATGAGTAATTATACGGAGACAGGAGATATAAATTGGGGTTGTCCCAGGGAAACTGGGAGATACTATAACCCTAACCCATAAACCTTAAGGGTATTTTTCAAGATTTAGTAGTGACGCTTTGAAATCTCCATCTTTTTCCATTGAGGTAATTATTTTAGCTTTGTTCTAAAGCAAAGCTGAAAATCTATAGAGTGAGATTATGAATGCAACTTCTTTAATGTTAATTTTCAACCAGTTGTTAGTTGACCATTTACCTTCTAATATTAGGCATATTTTATGAAGAGTTTCAGGAGGTTTATTTTTCTGCCTTCTTCCTCCTCTATGCAAGTGTCCTTAGGTAAGAGATCAACATTGTGAGGAGTATTGTTGAAGACTTTAAAAATACTATTCATAAACTTCTTGGTAACTCTTAAGAGTGCAAAATGTCCAGGTTTGTACTACATCACAGTCATGTCATGACTCTAAACTTCTTTCCATATAATATGTTCTAGGTTTTTAATTTCTTTAGATTTTAGGGTTTTTTCTTTCGTTTTGTTTTGTTTTAATTTGTAAAGCATTGCTTCTAGTATGTGTCACAACTATTTCAAAAGGTTGCTATGAACACTAAGTCAGGCAATGGACATGGAACTCTGTAAACTACACAAGATACATAAATGAAGGAGATAAATCTCGGTGTTATAATAAATATCCATTTATTAAAGTAAATATCCTTTTATACAATTGCTCACAAAGAAAATTCCCTTCATCCTAAAGAGTTTGCAAATACCCCCTCTATCACAAAATCTGATGTATAATATTTCTTTTAAAAATTAGCTATTTTTAATTAAAAAAGTAATATATGTATATGCACAAAATAAAAAAAACAAACACCATAAAGAGGTATACAGAAGTATTATCTTAAATCTTGACCCTTCTACACTCCCAGCCCTCTATATCTCTTTCCTATTGCCTATAAGCAATTCCCATTACTAATATCTTGTGGAGCGTTTCAGAAATATTCTATGTACATACATTCCCCTTTTAAAAACATGTGGAAGTTTACTATACACAATGCGTTCATCTTATTTTTTTCAATTTAATAAATACCTTAAATATTGGTTCATAGCACACAGATCAACTTCATTTTTCTTCACGGGTGTGCTGTATTTCGTTTTATGAAGTGCCATAAGGTATTTGATCTGCCTTTATTGTTCCATCACTTTCTAAGCCATTTCCAGTCTGATAAAAGTCTCTGCAGATATTGCCTGCAGTAACAGCCTAAGCTGGATCAATTTCTAGCCAGTTCTTATAAAGAATTTACTTTAAGAAATATTTAGAGGCAGGGAATGTTCAGAATCTAGGGTTGATACCAGAAGTAACAAAGATATGATCTTGATTTTCTTATATAATCACATCTGCATTGACTTCTGGACTTTCAGGGAAAGAATGGAGCAGACACACTACAAAAGAACATCGCAAAAGTAGATCCTTTGAACACAAGAAGTCTGGTATTAGGAAACAAAGCTTATTTTGAGTTATTTTCTGGAATAAAGATTAATAGGCTGTCTGCTAATATTGCCCACAAAAACAGTATTTTTTAAACTGCAGGTTGCCACTCATTTAGTAGATCATATCAATTTAGTGACTAATGATAAATATTTTATAAAACAAAAGAATAAAAAAGAAAAATCATAATGTACCATCTGTACTGTTTTGTGAACCTGGATCATATCTATCTATATATGTACACACACAAATATGTCCAAGTGTACATGTAGTAGGACCTGATGGAAAATGCCTTTCTTATTGTTGATTGTAGTTTTAAAAAGTTTGAAAGCCATTGGTTTAGAAAATAATTACTGCTAGTAATCATTTTATATTCACTTTTTCACATTCACTTTTTCCCTAGAAACCTCTAAGTTTCTTTCCCACTTTGAAGCAGAGATTTTAAAGAAAAAAGAAAGAAAGAAAGAAGGATGTATGTGTAGACGGACAGGGAAGAGTGGCAGTGGAATGCGTTTCTAGATTTATCTGTACCACGGTAAAAAGAGCCAAGGAAACATTGTCACTCTTGAACAAGAGGCTATCAGGATGGTGCTGGTGGACTTGTTAGAAATTCAAGATTTCTTTCTGGCTGCATGGATTACTCCACAGATGACTGAAGACAAGATCTGAAAACTTACTCTCAGAGGTGGTCTTGTCCTCCCCATCGACCGGAGAATTCTCTCTGTGTCGGTCATACCACAAATCAGGAAATGTGGTAACAGGTTTTGTTGTTGTTGTTTAAAAAATATATTTTTTACATAAAAAGATAACATTTATAAAGTTATACTTCACCATACAAATACATTTAAAATTATTAACTGAAGTGTAATTTCCCAGAAGTCAAACTTGCTTTATGATTTGTAATGGAAGTTTTGAAAAACTTTAGACCAAAATAACCAGGAACAATTTTCCTCTCCCTAAAAGGAGCAGGAACAGAATAGAATAGTTTAGTCATAGATGAAAATATCATTGTGTTCTCACAGTGATCCATTCACTGCTGCTTGGAAGCAAATCCTCTAGAGAATGAAACAAACCAACAACACAATGTTCCCATCCTCTACCCTCTGAACAGGGATCTTGGGTTCAGATGCTGAAAAAGAAAAAAAAGAAAAAACTCAATTCCTATGGGGAAGTCTTGCAGCTCAGAAAAATTGTGCAAAATCTAAAGATACATGAGACTCAATCTGTCTTCCATGAGTTTGCCCAGTTCCCACTCTAGCATGAAGCACTGATTTTATAGAGCTTGATCATAAGATACTTCCCTTATTCCCAAACCCATTATTTTGGGCTTCGCAACCTGCTCTACCCATCTCTCCTTTACTCTGTTTCCTTATTTTCCTCCCTAGTCTTTTTCTCTTCAAAGAGGTTAAGAAAGCTCTGTGGGGAGGAAACTCTTCGCCCTTTGCAGATTTTAATTCCCAGGCATCTCCCTTTGTGAGAACCCAGACAAACCCCCTGGCCAGGGACTGCTGTGCTTGGGCTTATATCACTGGTCTTTTTGTACACTCCTGGATTTCAGTCTCAACCAGCTGGTTCCTACCTTCCTGGCACTTTCCTCAATTGAAACCACTGAATCTTTCTTTGCTATTCTAACTCCATCTTTTTTATTCTGAGACCAAACAGAACTGAAGGCAAGAGATACTCAGACTGCAACAGACCAACCCTTAGGTACAGCATGATGGCACACTTACTTCTTGTCTTATCCTAATATCTTGATTCCAACAAGTAGACTCGGACCTTGTCCCAAAGCAACAATTCCTTTTGAGTGACCTGATCTTCTAAGTTGGCTTCTGTCTAGGTTCTTCATACTATTCTGGTAAACGGATGAGAATTTCCCCAGCCCAATCACCCTGAGAACACCAGGAGCAAACCTGTTATCTGATACAGTTGACTTTATGGATGCAATGCAATGAAGGTGGCTGTGGACCACAGCAGAGGTGGCTCAGCAAAGGAAAAGATAGAATTATTATAGGATTTTGGGAATGAGTGGAATGTAGATAGTATTTAAATGAAGCAGTGTTTGAAAGGTTCAAAGAAAACAGGGATAAGGATTTGGATTATGAAATAGACCCAGGCTCCTGTTTCTTTGCAAGGTACAAAGTTAGGATGAAGATGGATTGTTGTATCCAGAAACCCCTTATCTGAATCTCTCTGCACCTGGGTTGTAAATTGAGACTGCTTCTGTGTCAAAAGAGCTTAGACTCTCCAGGCAAGAATGGAGTGTTTCATTCTTACCGATATAATCTACAGCAACAAAGTCTCTGATAATCTTTGATTTTGAAAAAAATAAAGTTTCTTAATGATTAATAAGGCAGGAGTCCATTCAACAAAGGGAGTTGTTATGACGCTTTATAGCTTCAACACCCTTAAGAGAAATAGTTCCTGTTCAGTTTGCTGCTGTCTTTATATATGTCTATTAATGTAGCCTGATAAATGGTGAGATTTTTTACTCTCTCACTCTGAGCTAATTTTTGTTTTCTGAGGACGTATGTCTCTGTTAAAACAAAGACTCTGCCTATCCCGCCAGTCCAGTGGTCCCCAACTTTTTGGCACCAGGGACCAGTTTCTTGGAAGACAATTTTTCCACAGACAGGGTCGAGGAAGGGAGGGGACGGTTTCAGGATGATTCAAGCCCATTACATTTATCATTAGATTCTCACAAGGAGAGTGCGCCCTAGATCCCTCGAATGCACAGTGCACAATAGGGTTTGCACTCTATGAGAATCTAATGCTGTGGCTGATCTGACAGGAGGCAGAGCTCAGCCGGCAATGCTTGCTTGCCTGCCACTCACCTCCTGCTGTGCGGCCTGGTTCCTAACAAGCCACAGACCGGTATTGGTCTGTGGCCCAGTGGTTGAGATCGCCTGTGCTAGTTCTTCAGAATCAGGCAGGATTCCCAGATGCCTGTCTGTTCTTTAAATATCACCCAATATCACCTGTTGGACTTTGCATCGCTCCCATCGTCTCTGTTTCTCTTTTGCTAATTATTATCTGTACCCTGAGAACACATTGCCACTTTGTGAATTCTTGTGTTTTGCATACAGCTTTCCTTGCTTAAACCCTGCAGCATGGCACAACTTCTTCACTCTCATTTCTCACCCACTCCACGTAAACGGAGGTTCACGTTCTGTCTCTTTTCTGTCTATCCTATTCTGTTACTAGAAGCCCACCATAAATTGTCAGGTTGTGGTAGTTAGCAGTTCTCATCTCTAAACTGAACTCAACAGTCTTCTCTGGAATCCAGGTCGCTGTGCACTAACTTTGTAGATGTCTTCTTTCCCAGGGGTTTCCTTGGCTCTGTGTTTCTGAAGTTCAATTTCTAATTTTGACATTCTTCTCCTCACCCTTTTTGGCTTGTCTGAAGGACAGTTAAAATAACACATTTTATTGTTTTTAAGATTTCCAGGAGATTTTATTTTGGTTTTTATTTTTTATAACTTCACCTTTTATTTTTGATTCGGGGTACATGTACAGATTTGTTACCTGAGTATACTGTGTGATGCTGAGGTTTGGGGTACAGTCGATCCCATCACCCAGGTACTGACCATTGTACCCAATAGTTAGTTTTGCAACCCCTCCCCTCTCCTACCTCTAGTACCCTCCAGTTTCTATTGTTGCCATCTTTATGTCCATGAGTACCCAATGTTTAGCTCCCACTTGCAAGTGAGAACATGTGGTATTTGGTTTCCTGTTTCCGAGTTACTTCACTTAGGATAATGGCCTCCAGATGCATCCGTGTTGCTGCACAAGACACGATTTCATTCTTTTATGGCTGCATAGTATTCCATGGTGTATATGTACCACATTTTCTTCATCCAGTCCGCCATGGATGGGCACCTAGGTTGACTCCATGTCTTTGCTATTTTGAATAGTGAGAAGAGTCTAATCTTCAAAACCTGTTCTGAGTTTTTTCTTTCAGTGAAGCTCAAATCTTCACCTGTCATTATCTGCCAGTTGATGGTACTGAATTTCATTTCAGGATTGTAAAAGAAGAGTGCAGCTATTTTGTTCAACCCAAAGTTCTCACCACAGTCCTCTTTTCCACTCCGACTAGATCCAGGACAAACAAAATAAGCAAAAAATCCACACAAATAATCAGAAAGCACATCCACAATATTATTCACGGCTCTCCACTTAGAAAGAGAAAGCCATGAAACAAAATGGCAATTGACAGGTAAGTAAACTTACCTGGACTTATCAGAGAGGCAAATGCCAGCTCAGTAATGCTAGCATTTGTGTATAGATAAGTTTGTCACCTATTGTCTTCCTTGCTTCACAGAACTATCTTCAGAGGAATGTTTGATGGAGAAATGTCCAAATCTAGATGTCTATTGGGTGGAGCTTTGGCAACACCATTGCCAGTTCTAGCTTTTTAGAATTCTTGAAATAATCTTATCAACCTGCAGGTGTTTGCAGTACCTACATCACTGCCAATCACAGCGTGACCAGTGAAGTAGTGTTGGCCTGTAATCTGATAGAGTTCAAAAGTTCAAAAGCACAGAAATGGAGAGCAAGTATATCTATCTTTCCTTTTCTTTTTTTTCTGGAGACGGAGTCTCGCTCTGTTGCCCGGGCTGGAGTGCAGTGGTGCGATCTTGGCTCACTGTAACCTCTGCCTCCTGGGTTCAATCAATTCTCCTGCCTCAGCCTCCTGAGTAGCTGGGACTACAGGTGCACACCACCATGCCCAGCTAATGTTTTGTATTTTAGTAGAGACGGAGTTTCACGTGTTGCCCAGGCTGGTCTTGAACTCCTGAGCTCAGGCAATCCACTCGCCTCAGCCTCCCAAAGTGCTAGGATTATAGGCGTGAGCCACTGTGCCCGGCCTGCATTTCTATCTTTTATAGCAACTTGACACTGTCATGAAATCCCATGTGATCATTTTTCTAGTAATTCATTTTCATTGAATTTTATGAAAGTATTGATCCATGATGGATTTGAAATTTAAAAATATAACCGGTTTTTAACCATAGGTAGTTTGAGAAATATCTAGCTATCAGATGACTGCGGTTGAATTAAATTTAGCCTAAAGCTGCCTCCTTGCATATTTTAAGTTTGGCCTAAAGGTTTATCCATACATAGTGAACTGTAACCTAACTGGATATGTAAACAGACTATAGCCTACCCTTGTAACAAGCAGCTGAGTCTCAGCCAATCACAGCAGGCATACTTCAACCACTCACAGCCAAATGTTCAAACCGTGTTCAAACAAGGAAAACACTGAGCTGTAACCAAGCTGGCTGTCTCTGTGCCTCACTTCTGCTTTCTGTAAACTGCCTTCCTATTTCTGTCCATAAATCCTTCTGACAATGCAGCAGCGCTGGAATCTCTTTCTATCTATTCTGGTTTGGGGGACTATCTGATTCATGAATCCTTCTTTGCCCAGTTAAACTCTGTTAAACTTAATTGGTCTAAGTTTTTTTTTTTTTTTTTTAAAGACAACTGAAAATTAGGCATCTAAATTATCTTGAAATACATCAGCGGATGTACATACTATATACTACATAAAAGGGCTACTTGAGTGAGGAGCTGAAGCATTTATCAGAGAAATTCATATTTCATGTGCCAGAAATCTCAGAGATGTTCCCCTTTGAGACTAACATGACTATCTGACATCCGTTAAAATGAGATTATTGGGCTACGGGTGGAAGACAAGATGAATAAAAACCTTAAAAATTAGGGGATTGTTTTTCTGAAATCCAAATCTCTTGATATTCCTGGTCTTTCAAGAAAGAATAACTAGCAGAATGTCCTTCTACCAAGCTCATGAGGTTGATTCTTAGGCAGGAATAGAGGTAGCTCTGAGAAGATGCAGCCATCTGCCTCTTTTTGATTTATTGTAATATTAACCTAAAGCTACTTTTTTTTTTCTATTCACTAGGTGTGAATGGGCTGACTTCCACCAGTGAAAATATAGGAAAGCCAAAAAATACTTTTTGTGTTCTTAGACCTACTGACCGTGTGGAAGGAAAAGCTTCCATGGGGAGTTACCCACCAAGGGCACTTACTAAATTCTACTGATAATCCTGTGGATTCTCAGTGAGGCTTTAAAAAAATGCCCCTCAAATGCCAAAGCAATTCAGCATGATAATTTAAAAAGCTGACGTGGGTATTTGTATTCATCTCAAGAATTCCATTAGATACGTTTATGTTGTGCTCTTAAAGGCCTCTCCTTCATCAACTCCTGTAATTTCTCCTCTTTTTAGCTCCCACATTCTCCTATCTTTTGTATTAGGTGATCCTGTTTTGGACTATCAACCCTGGTTTTTATCTTGGCCAATCTTTGGGACAACTACTAGCATTGGATTGGCTCTGTCAGCTGCTATCTCAGGTAAGAGGTTCTTCGTTGCTACTCTCTACTCCTTACCATCCTCTCACTGCTTCTCAGTAATAACCTGGTTTGTTTTCTGAATTAGTAATCACCTGTTTTGTTTTCTGAAACTCAGTAGAGTGATTGAGAGAAGAGCCACACGTGGAAAAGATGGAAAGAGTCCAGTGGTTCTCAAACTTGAGTATGTATCAGAAACCCACAAAGGCCTTGTTTTAAACAAAGATCCATCTCCTGTCTTTCCCTGCTGAGTTCCTGATTTGGTAAGGGTAAAGGCCAAGATTTGCATCTCTTAACAAATTCCCAGGTAAGGCTGATACTATTGCCTGGAAAATCACACCTTGAGAATCCCTGAGCTAAACAATGTCAACCAGGTGAAGTGTGTGTATTAGCATCTCCAGTGAAGTGGGTTTTTTTGGAAGGGAGGCTAGGTTTAATTACCTTGAATTAAATCAGGAAAGCCAAAGTTAAGATCTGAATGCTGCATATTGATTAATATGCTTACCTAGGACACAAACTCATCCATAACGACATCTTATTTTCCCTTCTGGAGTGTACGGTCAATAGACAATCTAGACTGAGAGGATTCCTTCATTGCAAGCTAAGTTAGCTTCTGCTAAGTAAATGAAATAGGTGTTTTCTATATTTTATAGGCATTGAAGATTTAAGGCAAGTTTTTATGACCAATGAGAATTCTCTTTTTCATATGTAGAAGTAGCAACCCTTGCCCTAAAAATTATTTTAGAAATTGTGATGGTTAATTTCATGTGTCAACTTAGCTAGGCCACTATACCCAGATATTTGGTCAAACATTATTCTGCACGTTTCTTCAAAGGCATTTTTAAGGTATTTTAAGTTAAAGTTAACAATTAAATCAGTAGACTTTGAGTAAATCAGAATACCCTCTCTATTAGTCCGTTTTCATGCTGCTGATAAAGAGATACCCAAGACTGGGCAATTTATAAAAGAAAAAGGTTTAATTGGACTCACAGTTCCACGTGGCTGGGGAGGCCCCATGATCATGGCAGAAGGCAAGGAGGAGCAAGTCACATCTTATGTGGATGGCAGCAGGCAAAAAGAGAAGGCTTGTGCAGAGAAACTCCTGGTTTTTTTTTTTTTTTTTTTTTTTTTTTTTTGAAGTCTTGCTCTGTCACCAGGCTGGAGTGCAGTGGCACGATCTGGGCTCACTGCAACCGCCTCCTGGGGTTCAATCGGCTCTCTTGCCTCAGCCTCCTGCGTAGCCGGGACTACAGGCGTATGCCACCACGCCCAGCTAATTTTTGTATTTTTAGTAGAGACGGGGTTTCACTGTATTGGCCAGGATGGTCTCGATCTTTTGACCTCGTGATCTGCGTGCCTTGGCCTCCCAAAGTGCTGGGATTACAGGCGTGAGCCACCTTGCCCAGCCGAAATTCCCGTTTTTAAAACCATCAGATCTTGTGAGACCCACTCACTATCACAAGAACAGCACAGGAAAAGACCCGCCCCTAAGATTCAATCATCTCCCAGTAGGTCCCTCCCACAACACGTGGGAATTATGCGAGCTACTAATGAGATTTGGGTGGAAACACAGAGCCAAACCGTATCGCTTTCCATAATGTGGATGGGCCTCATCCAATCAGTTAAAGGCCTTAATAGAGAAAAAACCGAGGTCCCGGGAAGATGAGGGAATTAGAGCAGATTCCCTTCAGACTCTTTAGAACTACAAGTCTTCCCTAGGTTTCCAGCCTGCCAGCCCACCCTGCAGTTTTTGGACTTGCCAGTCTGCACAATTGAGCAGGCTGATTCCTTAAAATAAATCTCTTTTTCTCTCTCCCTCTTTCTCTATATACGCATCTTACTGGGTCTGTTTTTCTGGAAAATACTGACTGATAAAGAAGTAATGACAACTCTAGAAAACTTCTTGCTACTTGATGGGAGAAACATTTGTACAGCATTTCCTAGGATGTGATCCATAAAACCCCGTTCTGAAGAATGTTCAATAGAAAGGGGGACTCTGGAGATTACCAGTAAGTATTATTAGCTCATAACAGGCTCTGAAAATCTCCATAGTTAAGAAGCTCATTGACTTTTTTAAACTAAGAAATTCCCAAATAAATCTGATCATGGAATCTTTTTTGCCCTGCATTAGTTACTGGCCACCGAGGGAATCTATATTACAGAACAATTTTGGGATTGATATTTTAATAATTTCATTCTCCCTTACCCAGAAGTTATATTTATCTGTACCCATTCTTTCCGCTTTCTGAGGTGCAGATGGTTTCTGCATCTGTCTAAGGCTGAGCCATCTGGGTCTTAGGCCTCTGTATTTGTCTCTTAGAGTTCTCATATGTCAGGTAAGAAATCCAGCTAACTTTCTGCTACCATCCTGTTAGGGAGATACCTTGGATGTCCAGCCCTAAGCTATCTCTGTAGTCACCAGAAATGTGACTGAAGAAGGTTTCAGATGATTCCTGTCCTAGCCAACATCTGAGAGCAAACACATGAGAGACCTCAGTTGTAAACCACTCAGCTGAATCTGTAGTTGACCCATAGAAGTTCAAAAGATAATAATAATAATAATAATAATAATAATAAATTGAGGTTTCAAGTCACTAGGTTTTGGGATAGTGTCATGTGCTGAATATTTGTCCCACTCCCCCCCATTCATTTGTTGAAATTTGAACCCCTAATGTGATGGTGTTAAGAGGTGGAGCCTGTGGAAGGTAAGTAGGTCATGAGAGTGGAGCCCTCATGAATGGGATTAGTGCCCTTATAAGAAGATGCCAGAGAGCTAATCTGCTCTCTTTCAGACATGTGAGAGACATCTACATGCCTGTGTCGCTCATCAGATTTTAAATTCCTGAAGAGCAGACAGTGTGTCTGTCTTATTCTTCCTTGGATCCCCAGTACAGTGCCTGGAAACTAATTTGATCAATAAATTCATGTTAAATACTGAATAACATAAAGAGTGCGGGAAGAAGTGCTTGTGAGTTGTCAGGAAGAAGACTATCTTCACTATTGTATTTGAAGGGGGCTTTAAAAGATGTGTAGGTTATGGCCGGGCGCAGTGGCTCACGCCTGTAATCCCAGCACTTTGGGAGGCTGAGGCAGGTGGATCACCTGAGGTCAAGAGTTCAAGACCAGCCTGGCCAACATGGTGAAACCCCATCTCTACTAAAAATACAAAAATAGCCGGGTGTGGTGGCAGGTGCCTGTAATCCCAGCTACTTGGGAGGCTGAGGCAGGAGAATCGCTTGAACCTGGGAGGCAGAGGTTGCAGTGAGCCGAGATCGCACCATTGCACTCCAGCTTGGGCAACAAGAGCAAGACTTCTGTCTAAAAAAAAAAAAAAAAAAATTATATATATATATATATAAAATAAAAATAAATAAATAAAAGATGTGTAGGTTATTGATAGGTAGCAAGGAGGGCATTCTGAGTGAGGTGAACCATTGATTAAAAGCAGAATGTATTGGGGGTACAATGACTAAACCAGTATGCCTGGAGCATAAGTTTCATAAGATTCATAGAGATATTATGAAAAAGAAGATGAGATACGGAGCTAAGAAAAAAATAATGTAGGGCAATGCTCGTTGCTACATTTCAATGGGTTTTGGTTTTTTAAAAATTTAATTAAAAAAACCCAGCAATTTCAAATAGTTTGACCTAAAGTAATAATAAACATGGTCTTGGACAAACCTATTCATTCCTTTAAATTATTCAAGGAAGGAAATGTTATCTTTTTTCAAAATGCCTACAAGGATTCTGTCTGACCCTGATGATAATTAACAAGTACCTAGAGAAAGAAGAGACAAAGAGGTTAAGGAGTGGAAGAAGAAATTGCAAAATTTTAAAAAGTTAAAACAGATCGAGACCATCCTGGCCATCATGGTGAAACCCTGTTTCTACTAAAAATACAAAAATTAGCCAGTTGTGGTGGCATGTGCCTGTAGTCCCAGCTACCTGGGAGGCTTAGGCAGGAGAATCACTTGAATCTGGGAGGCGGAGGTTGCAGTGAGCCAAGATTGCGCCACTGCACTCCAGCCTGGCGACAGAGCGAGACTCCATCTCAAAAAACAAACAAACAAACAAACAAACAAACAACAAAAAAGTTAAAAGCATTAGCAGGCCAGGTGCAGTGGTTCATGCCTGTAATCCCAGCAGTTTGGGAGGCCGAGGCAGGCAGATCACTTAGTCCAGGAGTTCCAGACCAGCCTGGTCAACATGGTGAAACCTCCCCTCTACAAAAAAATACAAAAATTAGCCAGGCGTGGTGGCATGTACCTGTAGTCCCAGCTACTCAGGAGGCTGAGGTGGGAAGATTGCTTGAACCCAGGAGGTGAAGTTGCAGTGAGCTGAGATTGCGGCACTGCACTCCAGCCTGGGTGACAGAGTGAGACCCTGTCTCAAACAAACAAACAAAAAAAGCATTAGTGAAGAAATAGCAATATATTAGACTGTTGAAAATAAGATTAGAAAATATACTAAAATGAGCACATAGATTTCAGTTGATATTTATGTATGTAATTTTATGTACTCAGAAAAGTAACCTAGTAGATATGTAGATATTCTATTACTAAGAAAGGAGAAACTTTTTTTGGTCTTACAATTAATGGGAATGTAAGAATGCTTTGAGAAGGTTACCAGTTTTCATGCCTGTGTTTAAAGAGGACAACTCTAACTTGGTTCATGTGGATTCTTAAACATACCAATCAAACCAAGGACTGCAAACGTGATAATACAATATGAAGCTTAATGCATATCTAAGTGAAATGTTTACCTGTCTTCATAATAATTACTGTCGTTGGGCTGGGCATGGTGGCTCACGCCTGCAATTCCAGGACTTTGGGAGGCCGAGGCAAGTGGATCACCTGAGGTCAGGAGTTCAAGACCAGCCTGACCACTGTGATGAAACCCCCTCTCTACTAAAAATGCAATAATAATAATAATAGTAATAATTACCATTGTCAAAGGTATCAGTGATTATTATGCTTCTGCTCATCAAATTTGGTTAACCTAGAGTGGCAAAACACCATTGATGTAATTGACTACTGGAGAAGTCACAAATCTATTTCAGCTTCACCTTTCTTATTATCTTTTGACATGATGGTGCATTAGATGAATATTTTTATACATATATAAATTTATAGAAATGTATGTATAATCTGGTTTGCCAAAATTACATACTTTAACAGCAAAGTGAAAAATCCTAATTGGTTAAAAAAAAAAAAAAGGCCATGAATAAGGGCTAGGTGCAGTGACTCATGCCTGTAATTTCAGCACTTTGGGAGGCCAAACGGGGAGGAGTGCTTGAGGGCAGGAGTTCGAGACCAGCCTGGGCAACATGTTGAGTCCCCAGCTACTCAAAAGGCTGAGCTTGGAGGGTTGCTTGAGCCCAGGAGTTGGAGGCTGCAGTGAGCTATAATCATGCCACGGCATTCCAGCCTGGGTAACAGAGTGAGGCTGTCTCTTAAAAAAAAATGCCATGAGTAAAAGTAAGGAAGCATTTGGAAGAAAATATGCCCTACCAAGTTTGTCTGTATCCAGAACCAACAACTATTTGGCTGATATTTCATGTTGAGATGCTTTGATGGCATTGCTTTACTGTCTTATTAAATTATGTCAATGGAAGGTTTTCACACATCTTTGTCGAGGTTGGACTGGTTTGCCACCGACAGATGACTTATCTTCAGAGTAAGCTACTCTTTTCTAGACCAATCTTTTTCCTTTTGCTAATTAAGAATTGACTCCTCTGGAATCCTTTTATTGACCATGAAGGGTGGTAGGAAGGAAGTCTCAAGGAGAAAATGTTGGAGAACTGATGTGTAATCTATTCTAAGCATTATTTAAAGTTGGCAAAGAAAAATGTGGGACATAGTGTTCTCAGTGTTAGCCATTTTTATTCTACTAGCAATTTTCTCCAAAATCAGAACATCTTGAGGTCTCCAGATTGGAAAAGAATCAATTTTTGTGGCAGAGTGAAATCAACCTTTTTCAAATAACCAAGCTGTGGTGTTGTAAATTCAAAAATAGTCTCCAAATAGCTGCAACTTTCAACTGTTCTTACAAATAAAAACATTTTTAAAAAACCAGTTTTATCCACTTCCAAATCCTAAGACAAAGAATTAATTAAACTACCTTCATGGAAAAGAGACAAACATTTTTAAAAATCAAATGCATTCTGACATAAAAACATTACAAACACTTGCTTACTTAAGATTAGAAAAACCAACCAAAGTGATGCCCATAAAAATGGTGAAATTACATTATGAGCCTATGGAAGAGCTGATCTTAACTATCATATTCAGTATTAATTTTTTGAAAACAATATTTGTCTTAAAGACTTTTCACTATTAAATATAATCCAACCTTAACAAACATTTAAAACAAATGCTTGTGTAACCACCATGGACATTATGAAAAATAATACTGCTGCCTCTCCAAAGCAACTCCATAACCCTCCCCCAGAGACAACTTAGCCTGACTGTGGCAATCACTTCCTTGCATATCTTTTACTTAATATATAAATATGCACCTAAATATGTGTTCTGAAATACTATTGTGTGAGTTTTGCCAATGGCTACTGGCTACTACATTGAAACATGCAGATACAGAACACCTCGTCATCTCAGAAAGCTCTTCTGGACAAGCTGCTCTAGAATGACAACAACTTCAGAGCCTAGCCTATGACTCATTCTTCTTATATCTCCATGCCCTGACCCCCACCACAATGCCTAACACAGTATTCTTTTGACAATTGCCTGTTGGACTAGACTACCTCCAAGGAGGTTTAGAGTCCAGTGGTGAAAATAGAAAATAAGCAGAATGCTAAATGAGGTTCCAAAGGCTGAGAACATGACACAAGTGGCCAATATAATAGTTTCCCAATACCCTAAATATGTGAGAAGGAGACTATGAAACAAGTATTAGTGATCATTTACCTTCAGCTTATGAAGGGGAACAGGTGGTGGGGGGGTGCGGAGAGAGAAAAGAGGAGAGAAAAAGAGATTCCTTCAGATAGGTTTGGAATGTTCTTGTATCACTCCCAGTCTCCATTCATAACGTAATGTGGGATAAGGGGAGGATTGCTTTCTCTTCGTCATAAACCAAGTAAGAAAGGTATTAAGGAGACCGCTTAAAGAGCTTGTATGTGTCTCCTGGAGCCTGGAGAACATACAGACGTCAAAAATATAATATTTGGAATCCCTGGCTCTTTGACTTGCTGACTCTGTGACATTGGGCAAGTTAGATAACCTCTTGGCATTTCAGTTTCCTCATTTTAAGTTTTGGATATGACAATACCTATTTCACAGGGTTAACATAGGCATTAAATGAGAAAATCCATGCAAGGTACCAATAATAGCAAATTACTTCACTTCATTTGAATTGGGTCTGCTGGTTGGCAAATTCCTTTTACTATAAATCTTTGAACACGGTCTTAAGCTCAGCAGCTTTTGGCAGCTAAGCAGAAAATCTGGCTTTCTGCCAAACATGTGCTCTTTATTGTAAAATATGGAATGTTGTCTCTAGGAGATACTTTGCTGGGCTCAGGACTCCTTCCCCTCCTCCTTGCACTCAAATATGCCCATGTCACAATGATCATCAATGCAGTGTGAGTGGAAGTGATCTGTAATACTTCTAGACGGGGTTTCCCTTTTTCCTCCCTTCACACATTCCACCTTATCCACCACCATTTTGCCTCAGGTAGCAGGTAATTGAGTTATTAATTATCTTTAGTTTTTGACATGCTATTATTTCATTTTTGTTTTTTCCTTTTAGCTTCCATCCCCACACCCTTGCTGTTTTCCCCATATCCCACAAACAGCTGAACTCTGATATTTTGGTTTATCTTTAGATACACGTGTATCTTAGAAAACTCTATTGTCCTGTGTGTTTTAAATTCGTACAAATAATATGGTGTCACAGTTCTTATAAAATGTATATGCATGGATTAAGGAATTACATTCTCTCTCATATCCTATTAATTTTTGTAAGATATGAGGTTATATTGTACGAATATTTTGCATACGTGTTTCTATTCTTAGAATGTGAATATAAAGTAGAGAGGCTGTGTCTATCACTGGTGCCTGGAACAGTTCCTAACCCAAGGAAAGCACAAAATTCAACTGTGGAGTAGACGTTTGAATGGATACACAAGTATAATATTTGAAAAAGTTAATTGTTTTGGTTTTTCCCTCTAGAAAAATCCTTGATTTATCCAAGTTCCATGTGCTTTAACATAAAACTGAGACACTGATTTGTGAGAGTATTGCCTACTGAAGGTTACTGCGTGGTTCGATGAGTCCTATTTCCATCCATTTAAATTCAAAGCTACAATCTCACATAAATAAGGAAGAAATTATAATTGTAATTAACTCTTAATTATATTTATGTACATTTTTATTGAATGCATCTTATGTAATGCTCATTATTGTGTATTGAATTTGCTTTTTAGTGAATATAATTTATATACAAAAATAAATTAATCCATCTGAATTTTGTATACTTAAGTTGTATAGACTTACAATTTTATAGTTATATAAAATTACCCTTTATTTGTAAGAAATACATCCAGGTTTCATACTGATATTATGAAATATATGAATTGATTCTCCAGATTGTCTATTTAAAATTAAAAAAAATTTTTTGAGACAGGGTCATGCTCTGTCACCCAGGTTGGAGTGCAATAGCAAGATCACAGCTCACTGTAGCCTTGACCTCACGGGCTAATGCAATCTTCCTGCCTCAGCTCCCAAGTAGCTGGGACTACACACCACCAACACCTGGCTCATTTTTTAAATTTTTAGTAGAGATGAGATCCTGCTATGTTGCCAAGGCTGGTCTTGAATTCCTAGGCTCAGATGATCCTCCTACCTCATTCCCTCAAAGTGCTGGGATTACAGGTGTGAGCCAGGCCTTTTTATAGTTTTTAATTTTTAATTTTTTGGGGTACATAGTAGGTATATCTATTTATGATGTATAGAGGATATTTTTGATATAGGCATACAATGTGTAATAGTTACATTAGAGTAAATTGAGTATCCATCCCCTCAAGTATTTATCCTTTGTATTACGAACAAACCAATTATACTCTTTTAGTTATCTTAAAATGTACAATTAAATTATTATTGACTATAGTCACCCTACTGTGCTATCGAATGCTAGGTTTTATTCATTCTTTCTAACTATTTTTTTGTACTCACTAACAATCCTCACTTCCCCTTGCGCTCACCTCCTCACTACTCCTCCCAGCCTCTGGTAACTGTCTTTCTACTCTCTCTCTCTGTGAGTTCAATTGTTTTAACTTTGGGCTCCCACAAATAAGTGAGAACATGTGAAGTTTGTCTTTCTGTGCCTGGCTTATTTCACTTAATATAACATTCTCCAGTTCCATCCATGTTGTTGCTAATGACGATCTCATTCTTTTTCTTTTTTATGGCTGAATAGTACTTCATTGTGTATATGTACCACATTTTCTCTATTCATCCATCTGTTGATGGACACTTAAGTTGCTTCTAAATCTTGGCTATTGTGAATAGGGTTGCAATAAACATGAGAGTGCAGATATCTCTTCAATAACCTGATTTCCTTTTTTTCAGTATATAGTTAGCAGTGGAATTGCTGGATCATATATTAGTGCTGTCAGACTATATAACATTTGATGACTCTATTGATACTGAAGACCTGGTTAAGTATCTGACATAATATTTTATCCTTAGCTTCTTTTTATGGAAAAATTTTAAAATACACAAAATTAGAGAAAATGGCATAATAAACCATTATTATTCATACCTAGTGTCAGAAGTGATCAATCCATAACCAAATCAGTTTTATCTATTTCCCTACCCAATTATACACTCCCATTTATTTTGAAGCAAATTCCAGACAGCATAGCATATCAGTATCTTAAAGTTAAGGATTCTTCAGTTGGAAATACAGAAATCACCTGCCTTCTGTATTGGTCTTGCTGGGAGCTGCAGACTGGAGCAGTTCCTATTTGGCCATCTTGCCAGATTCCCTGGTTCATCTCACTGGGACTGCTTAGACAGTGGGTGCAGCCCATGGAGGGCAAACCGAGCAGGGTGGGGCATCACCTCACCTGAGAAGTGTAAGGGGCCTGGGAATTCTCTCCCTTAGCAAAGGGAAGCCATGAGAGATTGTGCCATGAGGGAAGATGTTATCCAGCTCAGATACTATGCTTTCCCCATGGTTTTTGCAACCCGTAGACCAAGAGATTCCCTCGAGTGCCTAGGCCACCAGGGCCCTGGGTTTCAAGCACAAACTGGGAGGCTGTTTGGGCAGACACTGAGCTAGCTGCAGGAGTTTTTTTTGTTTTTTTGTTTTTTTTGCACCCCAGTGACACCTGGAACCCCAGCGAGACAGAAACGTTCACTCCCCTTAAAAGGTGGCTGAAGCCAGGGAGCCAAGTGGTCTTGTTCAGTGGGTCTCACCCCCACAGAGCCCAGCAAGCTAAGGTCGACCTGGGACGCTGGAGGTTGGTGGGGGGAGGGGTGTCTGCCATTACTGAGGCTTGAGTAGGCAGTTTTCCCCTCACAGTGTAAACAAAGCCGCTAGGAACTTCAGACTGGGCAGAACACACCACAGTGCAGCAAAGCCACTGTAGCCAGACTGCCTCTCCAGATTCCACCTCTCTGGGCATCTCTGAAAGAAAGGCAGCAGCCCCAGTCAGAGCCTTATAGATAACACTCCCATCTTCCTGGGACAGAGCACCTGGGGGAAGGGGCGGCTGTGCGTGCAGCTTCAGCAGACTTAAATGTTCCTGCCTGCTGGCTCTCAAGAAAGCAGCAGATCTCCCAGCACAGCGCTCAAGCTCTGCTAAGGGACAGACTGCTTCCTCAAGTGGGTCCCTGACCCCCGTGCCTCCTGACTGGGAGACACTTCCCAGCAGGGGTCAACAGGCACCTCATACAGGAGAACTCCAGCTGGCATCTGGTGGGTGCCCCTCTGGGACGAAGCTTCCAGAGGAAGAAGCAGAAAGCAATCTTTGCTGTTCTGCAGCCTCCGCTGGTGACACCCAGGCAAACAGGGCCTGGAGTGGACCTCCAGCAAACTCCAGCAAACCTGCAGCAGAGGGGCCTGACTGTTACAAGGAAAACTAATAAACAGAAAGGAATAGCTTCAACATCAACAAAAAGGATGGCCACGCAAAAACCCCATCCAATCAACAGCATCAAAGATCAAAGATAGATAAATCCACAAAGACGAGAAACAGCCAGTGCGAAAAGGCTGAAAATTCCAAAACCAGAATGCCCCTTCTCCTCCAAAGGATCACAACTCCTCACCAGCAAGGGAACAAAACTAGATGGAGAATGAGTATGATGAATTGACAGAAGTAGACTTCAGAAGGTGTAACCCAATGCAAGGAAGCTAAGAACCTTGAGAAAAGGTTAGAGGAATTGCTAACTGGAATAACCAGTTTAGAGAAGACATAAATGACCTGATGGAGCTGAAAAACACAGCACAAGAACTTTATGAAGCACACACAAGTATCAATAGCCAAATCGATAAAGTGGAAGAAAGGATATCAGAGATTGAAGATCAACTTAATGAAATAAAGCGTGAAGACAAGATTAGAGAAAAAAGAATGAAAAGGAATGAACAAAGACTCCAAGAAATACAGGACTATTGGAAAGACTAAACCCATGCTTGATTGGTGTACCTGAAAGTGACAGGGAGAATGGAACCAAGTTGGAAAACACACTTCAGGATATTATCCAGGAGAACTTCCCCAACCTAGCAAGACAGACCAACATTCAAATTCAGGAAATAGAGAGAACACCACAAACATACTCCTTGAGAAGAGCAACCCCAAGACACATAATTGTCAGGTTCACCATGGCTGAAATGAAGGAAAAATGTTAAGGGAAGTCAGAGAGAAAGGTCAGGTTACCTACAAAGGGAAGCCCTTCAGACTAACAGTAAATCTGTCTGCAGAAACCCTACAAGCCAGAAGAGAGTGGGGGCAATATTCAACATTCTTTTTTTTAAAATTTTATTATTATTATTCTTTAAGTTTAATAATAATAATTTATTATTATTATTATTTAAGTTTTAGGGTACATGTGCACAATGTGCAGGTTTGTTACATATGTATACATGTGTCATGTTGGTTCAACATTCTTAAAGAAAAGAATTTTCAACCCAGAATTTCATATCCAGCCAAACAAAGCTTCATAAGTGAAGGAGAAATAAAATCCTTTACAGAAAAGCAAATGCTGAGAGATTTTGTCACCACCAGGCCTACTTTACAAGAGCTCCTGAAGGAAGCACTAAATATGGAAAGGAAAAACCAGTACCAGCCACTGCAAAAACATACTAAAATGTAAAGACCAATGACACTGTGAAGAAACTGCATCAACAAATGTGCAAAATGAACAGCTAGAATCATAATGACAGGATCAAATTCACATATAACAATATTAACCTTAAAGGTAAATGGGCTAAATGCCCCAATTAAAAGACACAGACTGGCAAATTGGATAAAGATTCAAGACCTATCGGTGTGCTGTATTCAGGAGACCCATCTCACGTGCAAAGACACACATAGGCTCAAAATAAAGGGATGGAGGAATATTTACCAAGAAAATGTAAGGAAAAAAAAGCAGGGGTTTCAATCCTAGTCTCTGATAAAACTGACTTTAAACCAACAAAGACAAGAAAAGACAAAGAAGGGCATAACATAATGGTAAAGGGATCAATGCAACAAGAAGAGCTAACTATCCTAAATATATATGCACCCAATATAGGAGCACCCAGATTCATAAAGCAAGTTCTTAGAGACCTACAAAGAGACTTAGACTCCCACACAATAATAGTAGGAGACTTTAACACCCAACTGTCAATATTAGAAAGATCAATGAGAGAGAAAATTAACAAGGATATTCAGGACTTGAACTCAGCTCTGGACCAAGAGGACTTAATAGACATCTACAGAAATCTCCACCCCAAATCCACAGAATATACATTCTTCTCAGCTCATAGCACTTATTCTAAAATTAACCACATAATTGGAAGTAAAACACTCCTCAGCAAATGCAAAAGAACAGAAATCATGACAGTCTCTCAGACCACAGTGCAATCAAATTAGAACTCAGGATTAGAAGAAACTCACTCAAAACTGCACAACAAATGGAAACTGAACAACCTGCTCCTGAATGACTATTGCATAAATAATGAAATTAAGGCAGAAATAAAGAAGTTATTTGAAACCAGTGAGAATGAAGACACAACGGGCCAGAATCTCTGGGACACAGCTAAAGCAGTGTTTAGAGGGAAATTTATAGCACTAAATACCCATAGGAGAAAGCAGGAAAGATCTAAAATCAACTCCCTAACATCACAATTAAAAGAACTAGAGAAGCAAGAGCAAACAAATTCAAAAGCTAGTAGAAGACAAGAAATAACTAAGACCAGAGTAGAACTGAAGGAGATAGAGACATCGAAAACCCCTTCAAAAAATCAACGAACCTAGGAGCTGGTTTTTTGAAAAGATTAACAGACTAGATAGACTGCTAGGCAGACTAATAAAGAAGAAAAGACAGAAGAATCAAATAGACACAATAAAAAATGATAAAGGGGATATCACCACTGATCCCACAGAAATACCAACTACCATCAGAGAATACTATAAACACTTCTATGAAAATAAATTAGAAGATCTAGAAGAAATGGACAAATTCCTGGATACATACACCCTCCCAAGACTAAACCAGGAAGAAGTCGAATCCCTGAATAGACCAATAACAAGTTCTGAAATTGAGGCAGTAATTAGTAGCCTACCAACCAAAAAAAGCCCAGGACCAGATGGATTCACAGCTGAATTCTACCAGAGGTACAAAGAGCAGCTGGTACCATTCCTTCTGAAACTATTTCAAATAACCTAGAAAGAGGGACTCCTCCCTAACTCATTTTGAGGCCAGCATCATCCTAATTCCAAAACCTGGCAGAGACACAATAAAAAAAGAAAACTTCAGGCCAATGTCCCTGATGAACATCAATGTGAAACTCCTCAATAAAATACTGGCAAACTGAATCCAGCAGCACATCAAAAAGCTTATCCACCACGACCAAGTCAGCTTCATCCCTGGGATGCAAGGCTGGTTCAACATATGAAAATCAATAAATGTAATCCATCACATAAACCAAACCAATGACAAAAACCACATGATTATCTCACTAGATGCAGAAAAGGCCTTTGACAAAATTCAATGCCCCTTCATGCTGAAAACAGTCAATAAACTAGATATTGATGGAACATATCTCAAAGTAATAAGAGCTATTTATGACAAACCCATAGCCAATATCATACTCAATGGGCCAAAGATGGAAACATTCCCTTTGAAAATTGGCACAAGAAAAGGATGCCCTCTCTCACCACTTGTATTCAACATAGTATTGGAAGTTCTGGCCAGGGCAATCAGGCAAGAGAAAGAAATAAATGGTATTCAAATAGGAGGAGAGGAAGTCAATTTGTCGTATATTTAGAAAAACCCATTGTCTCAGCCTCAAACCCCCTGAAGCTGATAAGCAACTTCAGTGAAGTCTCACTATACAAAAACAATGTGCAAAAATCACAAGCATTCCTATACACCAATAATAGACAAACAGAGAGCCAAATCATGGGTGAATTCCCATTCACAATTGCTATAAAGAGAATAAAATACCTAGGAATACAACTTACAAGGGATATGAAGGACCTCTTTAAGGGGAACTACAAACCACTGCTCAAGGAAGTAAGAGAAGACACAAACAAATGGAAAACATTCCATGCTTATGGATAGGAAGAATCAATATCATGAAAATGGCCATACTGCCCAAAGTAATTTATAGATTCAATGCTATTGCCATCAAGCTACTATTGACTTTCTTCACACAATTAGAAAAAAGCTACTTTAAATTTCATATGGGACCCAAAAAGAGCCAGTATAGCCAAGACAATCCTAGGCAAAAAGAACAAAGCTGGAGGCATCACACTACCTGACTTCAAACTATACTACAAGGCTACCGTAACCAACACAGCATGGTACTGGTATCAAAACAGATATATAGACCAATGGAACAGAACAGAGGCCTCAGAAATAACACCACACATCTGCAACCATTTGATCTTTGACAAACCTGACAAAAACAAGAAATGGGGAAAAGATTCCCTATTTAATAAATAGTGTTGGGAAAACTGGCTAGCCATATACAGAAAACAGAAACTGGACCCCTTCCTTACATCTTATACAAAAATTAACTCAAGATAATTAAAGACTTAAATGTAAGACCTAAAACCATAAAAACCCTAGAAGAAAACCAAGGCAATACCATTCAGGACATAGGCATGGGCAAAGACTTCATGACTAAAACACCAAAAACAATGGCAACAAAAGCTGAAATTGACAAATGGGATCTAATTAAAATAAAGAGCTTCTGTACAGCAAAAGAAACTATCATCAGAGTGAACATGCAACCTACAGAAAGGGAGAAAATTTTTGCAATCTATCCATCTGACAAAGGTCTAATATCCAGAATCTACAAGGAACTTAAACAAATTTACATGAAAAAAATAACCCCATCAAAAGTGAGCAAAGGATACGAACAGACACTTCTCAAAAGAAGACATTTATGTGGCCAGTAAACTTATGAAAAAAAGCTCATCATCACTCGTCATTAGAGAAATGCAAAACAAAACCACAATGAGATACCATCTCGTGCCAGTTAGAATGGCAATCATTAAAAAGTCAGAAAACAACAGATGCTGGAGAGGAAGTGGAGAAATAGGAATGCTTTTACACTGTTAGTGGGAGTGTAAATTAATTCAACCATTGTGGAGTACAGTGTGGCAATTCCTCAAGGATCCAGAACCAGAAATACCACTCGATCCAGCAATCCCGTTACTGGGTATATACCCAAAGGAGTATAAATCAATCTACTATAAAGACACATGCCCATGTATGTTTATTGCAGCACTGTTTACAATAGCAAAGACTTGGAACCAACCCAAATGCCCATCAATGATAGACTGGATAAAGAAAATATGGCACATATATACCACGGAATACTATCCAGCCATAAAAAAGAATGAGTTCATGTCCCCTTGCAGGGACATGGATGAAGCTGGAAACCTTCATCCATGTAACAAAGTAACACAGGAAGAGAAAACCAAACACTGCATACTCTCACCCAAAAGTGGGAGTTGAACAGTGAGAACACATGGACACAGCAATGGGAACATCACACACTGGGGCCTGTTGGGGGGTGGGGGCCAAAGGCAGGGATAGCATTAGGACAAACAGCTAATGCATGTGGGGCTTAAAATCCAGATGATGGGTTGCTGGGTGCCACAAACCACCATGGCACATGTATACCTATGTAACAAACCTGCACATTCTGCACATGTACCCCAGAACTTAAACTATAATAATAAAAAAGAAAAATAGAAAAACTAACTATTGGGAACTATGGTCAGTACCTAAGTGACGGAATCATTTGTACCCCAAACCTCAGCGTCATGCAATGTACCCATGTAACAAATTTGCACATACATCCCTGAATTGAAAATAAAAGTAGGAAAAAAAAGCTAAGTACGCTTTAATAACTGTCACAATACCATTATCATGCTAAAAATAAAAATAATTCTTTAAAATCATCAGATTTCATGTCAGTGTTTACATTTCCAATTGTTTTGTAATTGTCCTCTCTTTCAGCTTTTTTTTTTTGGAATTAGAAGACAAATAAAATTCACATAAGTGATTGCTGTGTCTCTCAGTTCTATTTTAATCTGTAGGTTTTACTTTCTTTCTTGCTCTCTTACTTGCAACTTATTTGTTGAAGAAACAAAGTTGTTTGTCCTGTAGATTTTCTCCGTCTGGATTTTACTGAATTTGCAGTTCGGTTTGGGTTTGCAAAATGATGATATTCTAATTTTATCATTCCTTCTTCATTTATGTCTATAAAGAAAAACTTCTCATTTGTTACCCAGTGGTATAATTTATAAAGGAAACATAGGATAAATGCTTGATTATTTTTATTTAGGTAAAGTTCAAAAATAATGAATTGGTTCTTTAATATTCTTAATGTTGGGAAATTTGTGTGTGTGTGTGTGTGTGTGTGTGTCTGTGCATTGTTTTGTTTTTGGTATCATTAAGAATGAATAAACTGGCCAGGTACGGTGGTTCACACTTGTAATCTCAACACTTTGGGAGGCTGAGGCAGGAGGACCACTTAAGCCCAGGAGTTCAAGACCAGCCCCCATCTCTACAAAAAATAAAAAATTAGCCAGGTGTGGTGGAGCACACCTGTAGCCCCAGGTACTCAGGAAGCTGAGGTGGGAGAATCACCTGAGCTCAGGAGGTCGAGGCTGCAGTAAGCTGTGATTGTGACACTGCACTCCAGCCTGGGCAATAGACCAAGATCCTGTCTCTAAAAAAGGCATAAACACAGGGATTTAAATATATTTTAAAACTTTTATTGTAAAATAACCTCAGATACAGAAAGCTCCACAAGATGAATCTGTAGCTTAGTGAGTTATTATAAGAAAGATATGCTTGAAATCACCACTCAGGTCGAGAGATAGAGGTCGAGAACTCACTCCGGAGTTCCTCTCTTGCTCTATCTCAATGAAACACCTTCTTCTAAGAAGTAACAACCATCCTGAATTTTATAGAAATCATTTCCTGGACTTTCTTTTTAAAGTATTATTACCCAAGTGTGTGACCTTGACACTATAATTTAGTCTTGCCCATTGAAAAAAGATTGCTGTGTATTTTAAGTCTCAAAATCTTTTAAACTATACTTCGTTTTTTTCTCTTTTTTTTCCTAATAATTTATCTGATGAAGAACCTGGGATGTTTGAATTGTCGAGTTTCCCACAGTCTAAATGTTACTGATTACATATGTAATGCAACTCAAAATCGTCCTGCTATTTGTATTTCCTGAAACTTGATGGCTGGATCCAGAAGTTTGATCACAATGAATTTGATCCCTTTAACAGACTATAGGTGATATTGTGTTCTTTCACCAGGAACCACATAGTCTGGTTGTCTTTCTTTTCATGAGCTAACTAGACATTGATTTGCAATGCCTGGATAAATTCACTGGGAGTTGTAAAATGGTGACTTATGTCATTTTCTATTTATTAATTGAGATGGAATCTCACACCGTCACCCGGGCTGGAGTGCAATGGCGTGTTCTCAGCTCACTGCAACCTCTGCCTCCCGGGTTCAAGCGATTCTCCTGCCTCAGCATCCCAAGTAGCTGGGATTACAGGCGCCTGCCACCATACCCAGCCACTTTTTTGAATTTTCAGTGGAGACGGGGTTTCACTATATTGGCCAGGCTGGTCTCAAACTCCTGACCTCGTGATCCGCCCGCCTCGGCCTTCCAAAGTGCTAGGATTACAGGTGTGAGCCATCATGCCTGGCTGTTTATTAGTTGGAATATGTATTAAGGTTCTCCAGAGAGACATGTACAGAGATATATATCAGGAGCCAACTCCAATAGGCCTCTACTGGCCAAAGATGGAACTATGTAATCTTTAAGATAGACAGTAATTGCAACAGACTGAAACCTATCAAATGATTTTAAATCTGTGAGTTCATAATAATATTACATAACCAACACCAAAACATACTCTAGTAACATAGACATATACAGATATACCCCTGTATATGTCTCTCTGGAGAACCCCGACTCTATATACATAGCTGTATACACAGCTATGCATATACACAGCTATGTATATAGAGTCAGGGGTTCTCCAGAGAGACATATACATAGGATATATATACACACACATAGGATAGGTATACACTATATATATATTGTATATACATAAGATATATATACACATATACATGTATATATCTATATATATTCATATATATTCCATGTGTATATATACATGTATGTATCTGTATATATCCATATATATTCCATGTGTATATTATAGGATATATACACACACACAGATATCCTATATATATAGGATATATTTATATACAGATACCCTATTTATATGTATTTATATATCCTATGTGTATTTATTTATATATTCTATTTATATAGGATATATGTGTGTATATACATCTGTGTATATATCCTATATAAATAAGATAAATAAATATATATAATAGGATATGTAAATATATATGTATAAATATGATATATATATCATATTAATTGATAAGGGACTTATTAGAGAAATTGGCTCATGTGATTATGGAGGCTGAGAAGTCCCACAGCATGCAGCCTGCAAGCTGGAGACCCCGTGATGAGGGTAGTGTGGCTCAGTCCAAGTCTGAAAGCCTCAGAACATGGGAAGCTGATGGTGTAACTCTCAGTCTGAGGCCCAAGGTCTGAGAACCTGGGTGTCAGGAGGAGTAGCCTGGTATAAATCCTGGAGCCTAAAGGCCATAGAAGCTGGAGTTGTGATGTCCAAGGGCAGGAGAAGAAGAATGTCTCAGCTCCAGGAGAGAGAGAGGAAATCATTTTTCTGCTTCCTTTTTTGTTCTATCGGGGTCTCCAGCAGACTGGATATTGCCTGTCCATACTAGGGGCAGATGCTTCTCACCAAGTCCACAGACTCACATGACAAGCTCCTCTAGAAACACCCTCACAGACATGCCCAGAAATAATGCTTTACCAGTTCTCTAGGTATTCTTTAATCCAGTCAAGTTGACACCTAAAATTAATCATCACACAATTCTTTTACAAAGATAAGCTTCCCCTCATGTCTAATTTGGTTTAGTTCATAGAGGTCTGCACAAATACCTCATTCTTTCCACTTACTTATAAGTTTTCAAGGTCATGAAGTGGCTTCCTGTTATCATCCCAAGGTGACCAATTAGTATTCTATTTCATTTTTGTAATATCATTATGAACTCAGAGATTTAAAATTATCTATTTTAAAGACTACATTGCTCCATCTTTGGCCAGTAGAGGCCTATTTGAGTTGGCTCCTGAGTCCTTTGACAGAATCTTAGTAATCTTTGATAGCTTTCCTGGAATCTGGGACGACAATATGTTCCAAACTCATCTTGCATATTTTGGGTCATAGACCTGGTATCAACCAATTTCCCAACAGGCCCCAGATGCTAGATCATAATCCGGGTTCTAGGGGTCCTAGCTATGACTGTGTTTTTAGGTCTCTATAGTGACAGAGCTAAGATATACATGTAGGATATGTGTGTGTGTGCGTGAGTGTGTCTTTATAATAATCCCTGAGTAAATTCTAATCTTTTCCATTTAAATTCAGGATTATAGGATTATGGAGTTCATTACTCTTTTTTTTTGAGACAGGGTCTCACTCTGTCACCCAGGCTGGAGTGCAGTGGTGTGATCATGGCTCACTGCAGCCTTGACTTCCTGGGCTCAAGCAATCCTCCTGTCTCAGCCTCCTGAGTAGCTGGGACTACAGGTGGGAGCCACCACGCCCAGCTAATTTTTTTGTACTGTTTGTAGAGATGAGGTTTCACCATGTTGCCCAAGCTGGTTTGGAACTCCTGGCTCAAGGTATCTGCTGGCCTCGGCCTCCCAAAGGGCTTTTGCTCTTTTGTATCAAATTTGTATCTCCTTTCTTTCACACTGAGAATCCTGATTCTCATGGATGCATTGGTTAAAGAAAGAGAATAATTCAAAATTACTAATATACTTTATTCCACATTATACATACAACATTCTCAGAATAACAATAATATTGCCATCACTAGTATAATTATTGAGAGCAGTTGAAATTATTTTTGCACATATGCTCTCCGTTCTCCCCACCTTTTTAAAAGCTGCACTATATCAATGCTAAGTATTTAGTTATTATATACCGTGCTGTCTCCCGTTTAGCCTCACTTAATTACATTTTTACAAGTAACTATATGTTTTATGTTTATCACCTGTTCTTACGACAATGCCTCTCTAGTTATTTTGGTTGACTGAAACTCTTTATCTAGTAGATTCCCCAGCAATGGTTTGAGAAAATAATATTCCTTGAATTCTTGCCTGTTGATAGCAGTTTGCTTTAGCCTCTCATACCTAAAAGTCAGTTTGCTGACTTATAAAATCCTTACTTCACATTTTCTTATCTTGAATGCATTAGGTATATTACCTTATTTTTCCTGGCATGAAGCATTACTGTCAAAGTCTTAATGATAATCTAATATCCCTTCCCTTATGAATCACTTGTTGCTTTTGCCTAGAAGCCCAAAGGACTTTACCTTCAAAGTTCAGTAATTTTATTAGAATATGTTTTGGTGTTGGTCATTTTGGGCCAATATTCTCAGGTACATGATATGCTCTTTAAATGAGAGTTTTTAATCTTCTTTTTTTAAATTCAGGGAAACTTCCTTCGATGATATGTTTGTTATTCGTTTGTTTTTTAGTACTTCTGCTGTTCTCTCACTTTTGTTATCTTCTTTAGGCCTCCTATAATCTACAATTTGGATGTTCTTTGCCAATCTTTAATATAATTCACTTTTTCCCAAATACTTTTTATTTATTTATTTTTTTAACTTTAAAATATTTCCCTCTTTTTTGCCTTCTACTTCCATTGAATAATTACCTATTATATTTATTCTCTTTTGTGTTCCCTCTAGATTAGTTTTCATTTCTAAAATAATTTTTTCTTTCATGCTAATATTTTCCTGAGTCCTGATATTTATTTTCTGAATTATTCTAGTTTCCATGTATTTTTTTCACCTATTGTGTCATTTTCTTGATACTTCTTTACTATTTTAAAAATAGAAGCTTAGGGTTTTAATTTATTATTTAATTATGTCTTTTAAGCATACTTTGTCTATCAGGTTGTTATTCTGCTCCTATGGGATTTAACCTTCATAGTTTTTTGCTGTTTGTTTTATATGAAAGTGGTTTTCCTGTACTTTTAGAAAGAAATGTGGTTCAGGGTAACTTTCAAACTTCACACGGCTCCCTCTTCTGTTGCTTTCGTGTTATGTTAAAAAAAAATAGCAGCTTTCTAAGATTTCTTGGATCCATTCCCCTCTCCCATATTTATCTGTGTCTTCTCTATTGTCTATATCCTGTGCAATTTTTATTCCACTCCCAGAAGTTTCTCCTGTATGTGAGTCTGTCTTAGAAAGCAGCTGTAGTGGCTTAGAATCCTTAGGGGCTAGACTGGTCTAGATCCTTCAGCTGTGCTATGAACCATTGGCACCCATCAGCAATAATTCTTGACTGCTTTGGGTTCTGCTGTTCTCATGTTCATCAGATTTCCTGCTGCTTTCCTCCGCTCACTCCTGCATAGACTCTCTAGGTCTTGTGGCAGTTGTGGACTTTGTCCTTAGTCACCTTGGAGTTAGTGGATATAACTTGTCATAAGGGGTGGTAACTAATCAAAAACTACCTCAACGTTTCCTCTGCTCCCTATACATGTGCATCCTGATCTGACACCAAAAGGTAGAGAGTATTTCTCCTTATGAATCTGAGATCTCCTTGTGATTGATTGACCAACAGAATATGGAAAAATGATATTCTAGGAACTCTTGGCCCCCAGCCTTCAGGTTGTGAGAAGGCCAAGCCAAGGAGAGGCCATGTAAAGAACTAAAGTGCTCAGAATTACAGCTCCAGCTGAGCTCTCAGGTAACAACTATGAAAGTGGCATCTGAAATGTTCTGCCCCAACTGAGTCTTCAGATGACTACAATGCTAGCTGTGAGAGATAAGAAAATGGTAGTTGTTTTAAAATGCAAAGTATTGAAGTGGTTTTTGATATAGCAATAGATAACAAAAATGCCTAGTTTTATTGTAAATGTTATCCACAGTTTTCAATTTTGTTATCTAATTGCTCCTCTGTTTTTATGTAGGGATTTGAAGAGAGTCTAAAATAATGTCTTGTAATGCAATCTGCCCAAATCTGCCCAGAATCCAATTCTGTCATAAGATTATAAGGTTCTTCTAGCATAGATCTCAGTTAAGACCCATGAAACCATCAGAGAGTGTAATTCAGAACCAGAGCAAATCACAGGGAATTTATAGCTTCCCCATATGGACTTTGGCTTTCTAATCAACCCTAAATGAAAATAGACATCTCTTTCCTCATTGTCTGCACCACCCTCCCCCGCATATTATAGTTCACACTAAATATGTTGATAATCCATATATCTGACATTAGTTGCCTGAATAAATTGGGCACTCTAATTTTCTAGATCCATGTTAGGAGCATCAGCTCAATTTTTTTTTTAACAATTAAAGCATTTTTTTAAAAGTTACAGTGAGTTATGCAGATACTGTAATCAAGTTAATAGTTTGGCTAATTTTCAAGCCAATCCACTCAGTCATTCAAAGAGTACTGAGTGATTATTAAGAACTGTTCTAGGTATCCAGGCACTGATTATAGATCAGTAGACAAGCAAACATCCCTACTCTTAAGGAAATTAAGGTCCAGCAGCTGATATTCTCTAAATTCTTGTTCAGTGGCCATCCTGCCGTCACTTGAACACGCTCCTGGGAAATTGCCAAACCCATTTCCAGCTCCCTACAACTTTTAGTACGCTTCCTCGAAAATGTTTTGGTAAATATCATTTTATCCATTTCATTACATTTTCAGTGGTGGCACAGAGTCCCTTCAAGATTAGTTTCCTTGGATGCTACCCAGCTAGTATTCCCCTTAATCCAATTCTGATTTCAAAGAATCATTAAAATGTGGCAAACAGGGAATGATTAAGTGTTAAGTGTTAGATCTAAATTTCTTGAATAACACAATAGCTACTTAAGGGGGGTACTTTAGTGGACGCTTTATTAGATTAGTAGGAGTTTGGGAACTTTGTGTGTATATGGGGGTGGGGAGATGAGAGGAAAAGGAGGTGAGTAGTAGAGGTTGTTAAAAGAGGAAAAAGGAAGAAATAAAAGCCCATATTCTCAAAACCAACAATTTAAGGAACTCTAGTATTTTAGTAGCTTTCTCCATGTACAACCTGGAAATGTACATTAACAGGAAACTTTCTACCCACCCCTGCCTCCGCCTTTCCCATCCTTGGGTCTGCTGGGATCTGTCGGTGGGTAGAAGACATTGTCATTGTTCATAAGACTGCCTGAATGTGAATGACATATATTTAGAAATCAAAATAAAGTTTTGGGAAGATCTTCAATTTAATGGAAACTAGTCTAGTCATTTGGGAACCACAAGAGCTTTTTAGGGAAAATGTGCCTCTGCCAGCTGGAGGAAGTGTGGGTGTACCGGGGTCCCGGTGACACCTTGTGATGTCAGTCACCCCCAGCCTGAGGTTGATTGGCTATGAAGAGCTGCAGCAGAGTTTAAATTCCTGCACCATCAGAGAAGTGTCCAGAATATCAACACAAGAGTGGCTTCATTGGGCATAGATTTCCTCTTTGAGAACATCAACCTGATTTTTGAGACTTTTTGAAAAAATTCTTTGTGAACTACGGAGGGTAAGTCATTTTCATCATTTAATTTTTTAAAATGACTTTTGCTGGTTGTTTGGAAAATATTAAATATGTATACATGTTTGAGGCATTATACCATGTAGAGAGAGATGGGAGAGCTGCGCTTTGGGTAAAAACAGTTCCTATTTTTGTGCCTGTTGTTTATGCCACAGTAAATAATGATATGAAAATGACATGTTAAGACAATACAGCCAGGTGTTTTTCTTGGTAATGCTTTAATTAGATCTCTGCATGACACTTCTAAAAGGGATAGTTTATAGAACAGGAGGCAGATGGAAGGTCATTTTGAAATTTAGTTTTAATTAGCAAAACGTATAAAACTTTTACAGTGTGTTTCATGAATAAGGGAATGTTTGCAACCTACAAGATTGTGAAAAAAAAGCTAAACTTATTGAATGGCAGGACTTTAAAAAGAATTTTTTTTAAATTAAAATGTTATTCATCTAGAGAGCATCTAGTAACATTTATTATGAACTGCATAAGTAACTAAAAGATGATTAAACTACTGAAATAACTGAGGGTGTGATAATTATGTTTTTTGTATTCATGTTAGCATGATGCCTTGAATACAGTTAGAATTCAATAAATGTTGAATATAATTATATTTTAAAATATTGCATTTTAAAACATATATTTTAAAATGTCCATATGTATTTTTATTTACTGTATTTAGTGCACTTCTTCATCTGTGTGACGTTTAGAAGAGTCCATGTGTTTTAGCAACTTGTCTTCCTTAAGAGCAGTAACTTGTGGTTAACCATACTTTCTGTTTAACTGAGGCTTGACTATCTTATTTTAACTTTGTTGTTTAAAAATGCGAACAAACTATTTTCTAAAGGGTATTAGTCCACTTACCTACCTGAAAATGGTGATGTAAAACAATGTGCCTCAGATGCTTAGAGGCCTTCCAAATCTATATTTAATTTTGGGGGCACCTCAGAGGTATATTCCTGTGATTAAAAGCATATAATATTGGATTCATCGTAATTGACCTGAAGACACATACAATAGGAAGAATTGGATTTTTTTTTGGTTTGTTTGTTTCTCTGGATTCCTGGTAGAGTTCATATCCTGGCCAAGTTTGATTCTATTTTCAAAGAGTAATAAGAAAACAAATTCTAGCAGGTTCTAGTTAGTTGGATTCTGGTTAATTTTATTATTATAAAACCAACTTATTTTATTATTATTGTTTATTATTATTAAAGTTTCCTGCTAATGTACATTTACAGGTTGTACATGGAGAAAGCTACCAAAATATTAGAGTTTCTTAAATTGTTGGTTTTGAGAATATGGGCTAGAAAAGTGCCTAACACATTGCATGTTCATAAATATTTACTGACTGCTAATGAATGAATGTATTGTTCAGTTGTGTTCTTGAAGATAACAATACTAAGACAAATAAAGCAAATTAATATGATGAATTGTTTTCCAAAAGAAAAAAGAGTCTATGACTTTTCAAACCTTTATTTTCTTCTTTTGGCCTATTTCCTTCATTTTGGTTTACATAAAAGAAGATATATATTTTACAAATGTATCTTAACCTTGAGAAAATGCTAGAACAAATTTCCTTACTTAAGAGCCGAAAGAAGTTTTGGCTACACACCTGAAATCTTGACTTTAGTTTCCCTCTCCACATTCTAAACATTTGGCTCTTTTCAACTCTATGAAAACAATTCACAGGGGCAGAAATTCTCTAATACACCGCCTTCCAAATGGATGGAACTCAAGTTGTTTATTTCCTTTTGTTACGTCATCTCACTGTAGAATGACAGCATGTAGAATGTAGAAATAACATTAACCAATCACTGAAGAAGAACTCAAAGTTCTGGACTTTTAATTGCAGGCTTGTAGCTGTGGTTCACATTTATTATTCAGAATATGGCTACTGCCTATCTGCTTCTACTCTTTTTTGAATAGTAGCCAAAATGTTTATAAAAGTTTGGAGCTCTTGTTTGGAAATGCACTTCACAAAATTATAATTATTTTTATCAGAAATACCAAATGCAAACCTAACAAGGGGTTTAAGATCTGATTTTCTTTAATGCTTACAGTTGGACTATATTTTTTGGGTGGCAACATCAGCTCTCTCAGAACTCTAGAGTGTCTTTTATTTTAGTTTACTAGACTTGCATCTGGGAAATTATTGCTTTAGGTCAGGATGCTAACGAGTATTTCTAGAATCCTGAGCAAGTTAGGGCATCTTTCTTGTGTTTTAGAATCTTCCATCCCTAAGAAACTTGAGCACTTGGGGCATGCACTTCTTTGTGAGAAAACACAACGTTCATTGGTTTAGAATAAATGCACAATGGCATCCCCAGTTTTCTAATTATTTAGATTAGAGAAGCTAAAGAAAATACAAGAGAATTCAATAGTCATTGACCTTCTGTCAAGGCTCTAACATTTGCTAGCTTTCAGAGAATCATGAAATTATAACCCTATTCAAATTTCACTTTGAAAATTAAAATGATGAGGTAACTTTCATTTGATCTGTGAAACTGAAAGCATTGAAAGGGTTATTTTGAGAATATCATATTTGAGAAAATTTTGCTTTCCTGAAGAAATAAACCTAACACATTTTTTAAAAAGTTTTGATTGTGGTATCTAAAGAGAAGTAACATCTATTAAATTAAGCTTGATTTTGGTATAGTTAAGCATTTTCATATGTTTTTCTCTGTTGATATTAATTGAAGGATTTTTAAAAGAAATTAAGATAGTATCAAACATAAGGACTGATATACACTATGCGAATTAGAATAAAGAAAGTAGCACAAATTAAGAATAACTATGCTGAGGAGAGATAATGCCCATAATATACATGAGAGGTTGTTTGACCATTTGAGTTGTGTGAAAGCAGAAATGAGAAGCCTGTTCAGGCTCCTTATCTTAGGATTTCTATTATTTTATTGAATACATTAAAAATAAGATTAGATGACTTCTTGAGCCCAATGTTTCAGACAATATTCAGCATATTCAGGCATTATCGAGTGATATATATATATATATATATATATATATATATATATATATATATATACTTTTTTTTTGAGATAGGGTCTTGCTCTGTCACCCAAACAGGTGTGGAGTGGCACGATCATGGCTCAGTGCAGCTTCAACCTCCCTGGCTCAAAGAATTCTCCCCACTCAGCCTCCTGAGTAGCTGGGACTACAGGCACGTGCCACCAAGCCTGGTTAATTATGATATTTTTAATTCTTAGATCAAGTGTTAAAATCTCTTGTGGAACTTTAAAAACAAACCTATTCCTGTGCCCACCCAAGTGAATGGATTTATTGCCCTGGGATGGGATTTGTGCATTGGCATTTTTAAAACTCTTCCCAGTTGATAGTAATATATATTTAGGGTTGAGAATCTTTGGCTTTTAACTCCTATCATTATTTTAGGGGCCAAGGGAAAACTTCCCCCTCACCCTCTGAAGGTTTGCTGAAAATCAACTGACAAAATATAGATTAATAGGAGAAAAGGAATACAAAATTATTTTTATGTGACACAGGAGCCTTCAGAACGAAGACCTAAAGATACAGGAGAAACTGTCCATCTTTATGCTTATGTCCAACAAAACATGGGCAGCCATGTAGAAATATGATTGGACAAAAAGGTTTTGACCTTATACTAGTAGACCAAGTGGGGTGGCCCAGCAAAGCCTGTCCAGATTCTTCTTGGCCTCTCCGTGCAGCATTTCTTCCTTCTTGATATGGGACAGGACCTTCTCTGCAATGCGGGTCTTATGACATACAATTAAACTAGGGGGGTCAGAGAATTTCTTTAAGGCCAGTTGTTACACAGAAAGACAGGGGGACTTAGGGTAATATTTTCAGGTTTTATTGCTGGCTTTGGGGAAAAGAGGTTCTGGTTTCTATAACCTGCCTTTGGGAAAGAGGGATTCTAGTTTCTATGGTTAGTCTCAGGGGAGAATGAGGGGCCAGAGATAGGAGGGCAGGGGAAGGTCAGAGAGAAGCTTTTGCTTCTGAGGCTGCTTCTGAGGCCTTCATTATGGAGTATTGTTTTCTGAGTTCCTATACCAGTAAACTATTGCAAATCAAAGAAAATGACTGAGGTGAGTCTCAATTATTTTTGGAGACTTATCTTGCCAAAATTGAGGATGCACCTGGGAAAAATGAACACAAAACTACCAGAAACATCTATGGTCCATGTTTGTTTACAAAGAGTCCGAGGACTTCAGTATTTAAAGGGGAAAGAACAGGCAATAGGAGAAAGGAAGGACAGATAAAAGAGGCAAGTGGTTGCATTCCTTTGAGTCTTTGTTTAGTGCTCACTGAGCCCACATTTTATATGTGAAAGGAGAGGGTAGAGGAATAGTCAATTATGCATTTGTCTCATGCTCAGTGAATCTGCATTTCTACATAAGATAAAGTAAACATAGACTAGAGGAAGCTGTCAGACATGCATCTGTCTCAGGTGAGAAGAGGAATGACTTTTAGTTCTGTCCTTTGTCCTGAACTTATGAAGGTAAGCTGTTAATTTACATTGTGAGGGTGAAATTCAACCAGACTGTTTTGGGGTAAAGATCTCAGGGCCCACAGGAATTTCCCTGTGAGAAAATTGTGAGGGAGGTATGTAGCCTTTTATCCTTGTAGCTATCTTTTTAAGAACAAAATGGGAGGCAGGTTTGAGTGACCCAGTTCCTAGGTTGACTTTCCCTTTGACTTAGTGAGTTTGGGGTCCCAAGATTTTATTTTCCTTTCACAGTATACATTTAACATTTAAAGAAATGAAACAAATCGACAAACGTGAAATAAACTTGCAGGATTATTTGTGAAATGTATGGAAGTTCATCAGACAAGTATGCTAGGGCAGCTACCAGGGCTTACTAGTGCAGGGTAAATTGCGTTCCTTAAACCATTTCAATAAATTTTTACTTTAGCATCTAGTACTTCTATTTTTAAATACAAAACAAAGTGTTTTCCAAAGCAACAGCTCTTGAAGTGTGAAATGAAGTTACCCTCCAGAAAAATAGTTTGATTTGGCGTGTTTCTCTCAGCATGATTTACAAGTGTATCCCAAACCTGTAATCTTCCCCAAATCCTTCAGTACTGTGAATGACAGCAAAAATAATTTAGCATAATTATGTATAATGTATGACTAAACGTGTCACAGTAGATATTAAGAGCTTTCTGAAGTTGTAATATGAAGCCTACTCTAGCGCATCTCTTGCAGATCACAAAAAAAGCAAAAAAAAATCTATTTTGTGTAGACATTATTATGCAGTCATAAATGTGACTTAGAAGCCATTGTGTGTGTGTGTGTGTATGTGTATGTGTGTGTTTGTGTGTGTGTGAAAACAAATGCCCACCACCTATCACTGGTGTCAATAAGTGTAGTTTTTTAGGGAGAATACATTTGCTAGGGTGCTCTGCCATACCAAGCTGCATAATTATTGTAAAAGGGAATGGATAGAAATTTCTATATTCCTCTTTCTTTACTTTTTCGTCAATTTATCATACTTTATGTGTTAGCGTTTGTACATCTCCTCATTGAAACATTTTCAATTTATTTCTTAGGAGTGAGGTTTTTAAAAACCACTTTGTTGAGTTATAATCTATACACCACATACTTCACTAATTTGAAGTGTATAGCTCAGTGGTTTTCAGTATGTTCACAGAGTTGTGCAACCTTCACTACAATACATGGAACAGTTTCATCACCTCCAAAAGAAATCCTGTACCCATTAGCTGTCACCCCTCAACCTCCCATCTGCACAAGCTCTGGGCAACCACTAGTCTACTTTTTGTCTCTGTAGATTTGCCTATTGTGGACATTTCATGTAAATAGAATCATTCCAATGTGGCCTTTTTATCTGGCTTCTTTCACTTAGCATAGTGTTCTCAAGTTTCCTCTACTCTGCAGCACATGTCAGTACTTCATTCCTCTTTATGGTTGAATAATATTCTGTTTTATAGATACAGTAAATTTTATTTATCCATTCATCAGTTCATGGACATTTGGATGAATTTTTAGTAGGAAGAAACTGTTAAAAAGTTGAAACTACTTTATTCCTTTAACATGGAGAGAAACATCTATGTCCTTCATTCCAGGTAGAGGTATCACACCCAACTATGAAGATCAGCATCCTGCTCATGTTCCTTTGGGGATTATCCTGTGCTCTCCCAGTAAGTATTAGGGTAGGGATATATGAAAAAACCCTTTCATACTTAAAACTCCACAATTTTGATTGGCTATGAACCAAGATGGCTGTGTATGTTCCAGTCCAGTAAAAATAGTAGTTTCTTAGCATGCTGTTTTCTTAAGAAATATCATTCAAGGTGTTTTTTATTCTGTTCAGTTGCCATTCACATAGATATCATTCATACTTTTCTTCCCTATAAGCAGTGCTTCTTAAAGTGTCATCCTGGAACCACCAGCATCAGCATCAACTAGGACCTTGTTAGAAATCCAAATTCTTGGACCCTACCTCAGAGCTGCTAAGCCAGACTCTTTAGGGATAGGAAACAGAAATCAGTGTTTTAACAAGGCCTCCCAGTGATTCTGATGCAGCCTAAAATTTGACTATCCCTACTCCTATGTATGAAATGTGTTAATAACTATTGCTTTAGAAATTTCTCTTTGGATTTACCATGTGTACTAAATTTTCTAGGTAACCAGGTATCAAAATAATGAATCTGAGGATTCTGAAGAATGGAAGGTGAGTAGAAATATGACTTTTTGAAATATTTTAATTTTAATTTATTATGAGTATAACCAAATTGATTTCATTGCAAATATTGAAACTGCTAATGACTTCATCAGCATATTAATAAGCTAAGCTATAGAGTTCATAGAAGAAAATACTGCTGTGATTCCAACTTAGTAGTATACTCTGGCAAGGAAGCATATTTTCTGTTAGCTTTCTTCTTATAATGGATGTGTATAATAGTACCAGGGGATGCATGACAATGAATCAAGAGTCTTCAGGAGAGATTATGACTTGAAATCTGTTTTAACAAGAGTTATCTGGTGGGCAAGAGGTCAAGTCCTGGAAGGTGAAAAAAGAAAGAAGAATGAGAGGACACTAGAGTCTCTGGAATGAGAGCTAATGTTGCTAGCATGTTATTATATTGAGAGTTACTAACTCTCAATAACTCAAGAATCATTGCCAGGCACAGTTCTGAGTGTTTTACATATATTAACTTTCTTAATTTTCACACCTCTGTGAATTAGGTATTATGTTTTATTCTCACTTTACAGATGAGAAAACTGATCACAGAGAGTAATTCAATCGTCTAGGTTACATGGTCAATTAGTGTTAGAGCCAGACTTTGATATTACGTCACTCTAGCTCCAGAATCCACATTCTTAACCAGTGTGTCATATCCCTCTCAGGAAGGAGCCAGGTCTAAGAGGTCAGAAAATTCTCAAGATTGGCACTAAGGGTTAAAATCTTATGCGAAATCAGAGCATTTTGTTCACTACTGTGTTTCCTACTGGCTTTTACATATGATAAAGCTTGGCCCCAATGCTTTTGGTGGTGGCCAGATAATGTCAGTGACCTGAGGTGGGGTCCTGTCCATGCCTGAGTCTGGAATAGACTTTGCAGTATTTATTATGAACTTTCTTCAGAGAAATCCATAGGCTGGTTAATTTAAAAGCAGACACTCTAGATCCTCTCTCTCATTTAACCAGAGACGCACAAACATGCCCTGTTCTCAAGTCTAGCCTTGGCATGAGAAAAATAACAATGTCTTGCTCCCTTCCACCCATTAATTCCAAATGATAATTGACTGGAGCACAGCCTGCCATTGTGCCTGCCTGCAGTGTTGCAGGCCAAAGACAGCGTGATTATAGCTCCTTTCCCTAAGGAGATACCCCCAGTCCAGCACCTCTGAAACGCACGTTGAAGACATGTCAATAGCAGCTCCTCCCTGCTCTACTTTGCGCCTTGGGTGTTCCACACAGGACTTTGCCCTCCTCAAGGGGAAGGGGAAGAAGTGATGGGGAGGGGTACCAGAAGTTGCTAAGGCATTCTTATAGTGCTTATGAGACTAAAGATAGTGAAATAAATTAGAGGTATGACTAGTTAAATTTCTGATTTAGCATTTGTTTTTAATACCAGGGCTTTTACATGACTCGAGAAGGGTTTCATGGCTTTCTCAATTCAGTTTTGTTTACTATTAAATTTTATAAGGTGGATGTTATCAAATGGATTTTTTCTTTAGTTTATATCATGTTGAATAAATAGTTTTCGAGATACTTCCATAGGCATTAGCTGGTTTCATCTTCATAACTACCTTGTGGGGTAAGCACAGTGGGTGTTAATTTCCTTAATTTATGAATAAGAAACTGGTGGTCAGACACGTGAAGTGAATTGCCCACCTTCACCTAGAGTAACCAACCATCTCGGTTTACCTGGAACTTAGGGGTTTCCTGGAACACATGACTTTCAGTGCTAACACCAAGATGATTGGTTTTCAGGGCTAAAACCAAAACCAGTGAGTTAATTGAGACTTAAATCTGGATTCTGAGTTTCAATGCTGCTTTTCCTGTGTTACGTTTCCTCTAGGTTGTATGAACGGCCAGGTTCAAAAAAGCATATTTATTTCTGTAAATGAAATATCAGAAATATAAACATTGTCTAGGTCTCTTATATCCCAAGATCTTTTCAAGCCATTAGTCATTTTACTTTCCTTTTGGAACCATTTCATCATAAAATTTCACTATTACTCATGTAAATGTAAGATCTCTACCAAGAAACTAAAAATAATAACCTAAAATTATTGTAAATAATTACAATAATGAAATCCATCTGTGAGGGAGTAATTTGTTTTCCTTCCTTTCCTTTTTTGCAGGGTCATTTGGCTCAGGCACCAACACCACCCTTGGTAACTATCTCATTTACTTTTGTCATAAACATCTCATGAAGTAACTTTAACACTCTTCCAGTTGCCTTTTACAATTTTGAAAGTAGTAAATCCAGACTGGAAGCAATTGATGTGTATCATGTTTTTTTCTTTCCTAAGGAATTACTAAAAAGAAAAGTAAACATTTTTCCCCTTTCAGGAGAGCAGTGAGTCATCAGAAGGCAGTAAAGTTAGCTCAGAGGAACAGGTAATTAAACAGACCTTTCTTAACTTTTCAGGCTACTTAGGAATGGAAGGAAATGATGTTAGATTAAATTACCTGGCGACAGTTCTAAATATAATATTTTCTAACTATGAGTTATGCTGGCTAAAGAGTCCTATAAAGTAAGAAGAGAAAAATGAGTAAGGAGAATTCACATGCAGACATGCTATTCATCTTATTTTCATCACTGAGCCTAGATTGCTGGCACTGTGGCCCCAAATGTCTCTCCTAGTTAAAACATAAACACATGCGCAGAAACACACACACACACTCACAAATGGTCATTGACCATGTCAAACTTGCTCATCAACTTAAAATGTTGCTTTTACAATTGGAGCAGTTCAGCTCAGGTGAAGAAGTGCCTGGGAGCTTCTATGTGTCAAGGATCCTGCTCGAAGACAGAACAGGACAGCCCTGAGGAAACTTTAATGAAAAGAACTGCTTCAGTGATGACTTTCTCTTCGAAAATAGTCCCATCTGTGGGACTGGGCTCTGGGAGTGAGAAAGGCAGACTCAGTTTATATCCCTTAAAGCTGGCATTCTTTTTCATTTTTCTAAGACTAAGTGTTGTTACTTTCTTAGCTATGCTATTGTTTTGACCAAACTCAATCCTGTGGGGCTCCAGAGAGTCCAGGAGCCAGGTTTCTCCCTAAGGCTTTGATCCATGTTGCATTCTACACTTAGCCAGAGTTGGAAGATGAATTATTAGCCTGTTTATCCCTATTTACTTAAGGTTATCAAAGGAACATTCTAGAAATTTAAAAGCATAGAACTGGAGAAATGCCGTTTGCTGGGGACTTTGTGATTTGTTGTCTCAAGGGTCTGTAAGCTTTCAAGTTACGGTAGCAATTCCTGCTTGAGAAAGGGTAATGAGGTATGGTGATTCCTGCAGTTCCTGCTTGTGAGTTGGGTTAACGAGGTATGGCAGGTTAAACCCATGCTCAGTTCCACCATACTAGCATAAAACTCCAGTGCTAGGAAGAGAGGTCAACAGCATATACACAAGTACTCCCAATCACCCAATTACAGACTCAGACATTGATCAGTAGGGATGTGTAAAAACAAAACAAAACAAAACAAAAACTAGCAGGTATGCTCTGTTGTAGGGTATGGTAAAGAGAGCAGATATTTTGGGAGCATAATGTATGAAGACTCACTGTCCTTCCTTACTGGTACAGAGCATCCAATTGTTTTACTTACAGGGCTCACCTCTCTGACTTCCCACGTAGCACTAAGTTGCCTTGTTGGTCACACTAGTTGGTGTCTTCTAGCTGAATCATCTATAGGCAACTTTCTGGTTGTACTAACGAGGTAGAAACATGGTTTGGGTGAAGTATATACCTTACTATAATATTTAATTTTCATTTTAGCTAAAGATTTTATCCTCTGGTCCTAGTACATTTTTCCCTCCAGAAGAAAAAAAATTGGGGTCATTTTAAGATCACTCAATATTTTTAAAAACTCTGTTTCACACCAAACACTTTAATGCATGAGCATTATAAACCAACTCTAATTCACAAACAATTACCTAAGAGGTTTTTTTGTGTGTGTGTTTGTTTGTTTGAGACGGAGTCTCGCTCTGTCGCCAGGCTGGAGTGCAGTGGCTCGATCTCGGCTCACTGCAACCTCTGCCCCCCAGGTTCAAGTGATTCTCCTGCCTCAGCCTCCCAAGTAACTGGGACTACAGGTTTGTGGCACCACAGCCAGCTAATTTTTTTTTTTTTTTTTTTTTTTTTTTTTTTTTTTTGAGACGGAGTCTCGCTGTCGCCCAGGCTGGAGTGCAGTGGCGCAATCTCGGCTCACTGCAGGCTCCGCCCCCTGGGGTTCACGCCATTCTCCTGCCTCAGCCTCCGGAGTAGCTGGGACTACAGGCGCCCGCCACCTCGCCCGGCTAATTTTTTGTATTTTTTAGTAGAGACGGGGTTTCACCGTGTTAGCCAGGATGGTCTCGATCTCCTGACCTCGTGATCCGCCCGCCTCGGCCTCCCAAAGTGCTGGGATTACAGGCGTGAGCCACCGCGCCCGGCCTGCTAATTTTTGTATTTTTAGTAGAGACGAGGTTTCACCATGTTGGCCAAGATGGTCTCGATCTCTTGACCTCGGCCTCCTAAAGTGCTGGGTTATGGGTGTGAGCCACCTTGCCCAGCCCAAGAGTTTTTTTTTTTTTTTTAAGGAATTATATATACAGTATGATTTGAATTTCATAAATGTGATTTCCAGAAAGCTTTTTGAGAAAATGTTGGCAGCATTGAGTGAAGTGTGCCTATATAAAATGGAACCACTTGAGTTTCAATTCCTCTTCCTTCCTATTTAAGCTCTGGTAGAGAGGTTATTGAGTAGTAAAACTGACCGTAGATTAGAGGAGGGGATGTAGGGCGAAGGAAGCAGAAAGACTAGAAAGGCTCTAGATAACTCCTTCTCTATCGGTTCCTGGAATACTGACCATATCTGTTAACCCCAAATTCTAGGCAAATGAAGACCCCAGTGACAGCACTCAGTCAGAGGAGGGCCTGGGCTCTGATGATCATCAATACATTTATAGGCTAGCTGGTGGCTTCTCCAGGAGCACAGGAAAAGGAGGAGATGATAAAGATGACGATGAAGATGACAGTGGAGATGACACCTTTGGTGACGATGACAGTGGCCCAGGGCCCAAAGACAGACAAGAAGGAGGAAACTCCAGACTGGGAAGTGATGAGGACTCTGATGACACCATACAAGCCAGTGAAGAGAGTGCCCCACAAGGGCAAGACAGTGCCCAAGATACCACCAGTGAGAGCAGGGAACTTGACAATGAGGACCGGGTGGACAGCAAGCCTGAGGGAGGTGACTCCACTCAAGAGAGTGAGAGTGAAGAGCACTGGGTGGGAGGTGGCAGTGATGGGGAGAGCAGCCATGGAGACGGCTCCGAGTTGGACGATGAGGGAATGCAGAGTGATGACCCAGAGAGCATCAGGAGTGAAAGGGGAAACTCCAGAATGAACAGTGCAGGCATGAAATCAAAAGAATCTGGAGAAAACAGTGAGCAAGCAAACACTCAAGATTCAGGTGGCAGCCAATTGCTGGAGCATCCCAGTAGGAAAATTTTTAGGAAGTCTCGCATCTCAGAGGAAGATGACAGAAGCGAGCTTGATGACAACAACACAATGGAAGAAGTCAAGAGTGACTCTACAGAAAACAGCAACTCCAGAGACACTGGCCTCAGCCAACCCAGGAGAGACAGCAAGGGTGACTCTCAAGAAGACAGCAAGGAGAATCTGTCCCAGGAAGAGAGCCAAAACGTAGATGGTCCCAGCAGTGAGTCCAGCCAAGAGGCCAACCTGTCATCTCAAGAGAACAGCAGTGAGTCTCAGGAAGAGGTGGTGAGTGAGTCCAGGGGAGATAACCCCGACCCCACAACTAGTTATGTAGAAGACCAGGAAGACAGTGACTCCAGCGAGGAGGACAGCTCGCACACACTCTCCCACTCAAAAAGTGAATCCAGAGAGGAGCAAGCAGACAGCGAATCCAGTGAGAGCCTCAACTTCTCAGAGGAAAGCCCGGAGTCCCCTGAGGATGAGAACAGCTCCAGCCAGGAGGGCCTCCAGTCTCACAGCAGCTCAGCAGAGAGTCAGAGCGAGGAAAGCCATTCTGAGGAAGACGACAGTGACTCTCAAGACAGCAGCAGATCCAAAGAAGATAGCAACTCCACGGAGAGCAAATCAAGCAGTGAGGAAGATGGCCAGTTGAAAAACATTGAGATAGAGAGCCGGAAATTAACAGTTGATGCCTATCACAACAAACCCATTGGGGACCAAGATGACAATGACTGCCAAGACGGCTATTAGCATCAGCTGTCCTAAGAAGCAGTTGTCACATAAAGGAGTCTTAGGGACTTGAAAATGTATCATGATAACTATAATTTATTGATGTTTTGATCAAAAGAATAACCAGATGCCATATTTTTCCTGAAAGGAATTGCTGGACATTACACTTGTTTTTAGGGTGTCATCATTTCACAGAGGTTTAAATACTGTGGAGTGACACCAGAACACAGCCAAAGAGGCTAGAAGCAAGAAAGGATCTGCATGATAACTTTGCAGCTGAGATAGTTCCTAATTCATCAACGTAACAAACAAAGCTATTGGGTGTCCATGATATACCAGGCACTATGCTAGGTGTTGAGAATGTAAAGCAGGTTAAGACTTGTTTCTTGCTCCTGAGGAGCGTATAGAAGGACCCACAAAGCTACAGAGTTAAAGAGGGATATGTATAAGAGAAACAAGAATTGTTACAACCCAGTATGGTGAGTGCCAAGACAGAGAGCTATGAACACGATATCTATCTGGGAACACTGAGAAGGGTGACCAATGCGTTGGAGAACGAGGGAGGGCTTCATAGCAGAAGACATTGGAGTTGGAAGGTTGCATAGGGTTTCCTCATTGGAGACCGGGAAATTCTATTCTTGGGATAAATAATAGTAAATTCTATAGGATTCAATACTTAGTTTGCAAAAGCACTTTGAAATTATGGCACAGTGAGTTGTTTTGGATAAGAAAATCTTTTTCTCCCAATTAATTTACCAATTCATCATTTTTTTTTTTTTGTAGAACTCCCATAAACATCACCTTACTAATCACTGGTGATGATAAGAAGGATTGGGTCAGGAAGAGTGGGAGAAAGAAATTCCTCTTTACGTAGATACTTTTTAGCTTTATTTTTTCTAAAATCAGTTTGCGTGCAATGCTAGAAAAAAACTGTTCTCTGAGTCCTTTACAGAGCAAAATTCTGTATGTAAGATTCAATTGATTTTTGACAAATACCATTTGAAATATTACCTCAACATAAAATACTTGTTTTGTAATAAAGATTATAATACCCAGAAGAAATATGTGTTTATTTGTAATCGTGGTGCTGATTATTAGGATATATTTGTGTTAAGCAACTCTTTCTTTAAAGCATTCCCAAATAGTTCAGTACCTTCCTCCTATTAAAATGAAAGATTTTCTTAAATTATTTCCTGAAAATTTTATTTGTAATTCAGGTAGCATTTGATAAAAATACTATGTGTTGCTTATGATATTTCACTAACTATACCTGTTACAGAACAGGGAGAAAAAAATGAAGTAAACTCTGAATTTTTGTTTGATGCCACAGTAAAAGTTTATGATGTTTAGGCTTAACATTATTTCCTGCTGGTCTCTCAGACTCATTTGTGTAAGTTCTGGAAGCTACAGAGTACCATATTCCTTATATTTTTATTTCTTTGAAAGAAACGACTTCACGTCAGCACTTCTACTTTACAAATGTGTTTTTACTCCCACTTCCACTGCAGTACCTCAGAATTCCCCACAAAATTATTAGTAGAATCCAGAAGACTTCCTGGCCGGGTGCAGTGGCTCATGCCTGTCATCCCAGCACTTTGGGAGGCCAAGGTGAGCAGATCACTTGAGGTCAGGAGTTCGAGACCAGCCTGGCCAACACGGTCTCCACTAAAAATACCAAATGAGCCAGGTGTGGTGGCACGTCTCTGTAGTCTCAGCTACTCAGGAGGCTGAGGCACAAGAATCACTTGAACCCAGGAGGCGGAGGTTGTAGTGAGCCAAGATCGTGCCATTGCACTCCAGCCTGGTAAACAAGAGTGAGACCCTGTCTCAAAAAAAGAAAAAAAAAAAAAAAGAATCAAGAAGACTTCCTAACTTTCAGTCTCACCTTTCCCATCCTTCACATTTCTCTGTTCCCTCACAAGGTCAAAGGTGTGTTTACCTGGGGAGATTTAAAAATTGTGTGTGTGTGTGTGTGTGTGTGTGTGTGTGTGTGTGTGTGTGTGTGTGTGTATTCTCTAATGCTTCCCCTTGAAATTTTAGAGCTTTTAATTTAGTAGGTCTGGAGTGAGACCCAGAGTTCTGCATCTCTAAAAGGATTCCAGGAAATTCTGGTGGAGCCTATCCACTATCGCTATTTGGGGTCTCCATTTGGATTAATTATCTGACTCCATTAACCTACAGGTTCCTGCCAACCCATTGCTCCTTCTGAGAAGAACTGCCCCATGCTCAGACCTCCTGGGTGCCTGAGGCACAGGTGGCCAGGTTCTAACCACTCACATGCCCCACCTCACCATAGGGGATTGGAAGAATTAGCACCTGATGTGAGGGGAGCCTGGCTGGCAGCTTCCAAGGAGGCATGTTGCAAAGGCCTCATCTGCCTGAACGCGGATGATGGGGGCTTGAGGTCTAATCTTATTTTCCTTCTCTGAAAATATGTATATTTAGGGAAAGAGATGTCAGAAAGTGGTTAGAACAAAAACAGAAGGGAATACACAGAGAGGCAGAAACGGAGAGTGGGCTAACCCCCATTAATGTGGCACACAAAATGGAAAATTATGGAGCTCCTGATGCTGAGGGGCAAAATAATCATCTTCCGGCCTGCAAGTTGGATTTGACTCTTCTATTGCCCCCAAGCCTTCCTGGATTCTGGGATGTTTTGTCTTCTCGAATGCCGCCTGCATGAGGGCACCCACCTTTCTTCAGGCAACTTGAGTGAGTCTTTGTTCCCGGCAACCAAAATGCTTAATGAACAGAGACTTAGAAACTTATGTTATGTTAGCTAGCGTTCCTAGCTTCTGTAACCCAGTGGTCCCCAAACTTTCTGCTGTCAGGGACCAGTTTCATGGAAGACAATTTTTCCAGGGATGAGGGGTGAGGGGGATGGTTTCAGGGTTATTCAAGTGCATTACATTTATTGTGCACTTATTTTCTATTATTATTACATTGGAATATATAATGAAATAATTATACAACTCCCCATAGTGTAGAATCAGCCCTGAGCTTGTTGTCCTGTAACTAGATGGTTCCATCTGGGGGTGATGGGAGACAGTGACAGATCATCAGGCATATACACAGTTCACAATAGGGTTCCCACTCCTATGAGAATCTAATGCCACTGCTGATCTGACAGGAGGTAGAGATCAGGCAGTAATATGAACGGTGGGGAGCAGCTGTAAATACAGATGAAGCTTCACTTTCTCGTCTGCCTCTTACCTTTTGTTGTTGTGGCTTGGTTCCTAACCGGGGTATGAGGAGCCCTGTTATAACCCCTTTATCCAGATAATTCACAGGACTTTTAGAAGAAAGAATAGTGATAAGAATTTCAGCTATGTTCATGATAGAACGCCCCTCTGGGGCAGATGTAGGAGGGTTTTCCTTTAAGTTCCCCTTGACTCATTTCATGTGCTTGCTATAGGCATTGTTGTATCTCGCAGTTGGAAGTGGTAGAGACACATTATTCAAAGGAAAGGTGGCTGGACTTGATCTTTGGCTTTCAAGGTATAGAAGTTTCCTCATGGAGTTCCTCTTGAAGTCTGTAGTAGATGAGTCCACTTGGGAATCCAAATTATAATTAGCAAATAATTTTAAATTCATAATGGGAAAGAATAAGAATGAAAAGCCTGTATGGTGAGCAGAAATGGGAACAGAGGGAGCTATGCAGTGTGAATGCTGAACAGCATTGGGCTAAAATAAGACGGTGCATCTACGATGCTCCCTGGAAACCTCACAGTAGGAACTGAAACATTCTCTCTCCCTGAAAAGTGCTCTAAATTGCCATGATTAACTTTTGCCTCAGTGGTTCTTATTTTTCTAAGCTTGTGAGGGCTGATCCACTCTTCATTAAATTGCCCCTTTATTTTTAAAAAATTGTTAAACTGAAAAGTAATAACTGTACATACTTGTGGCGTACATAGCTATATTTTGATACATACAATGTATAGTGATCAGATAAGGGTAAATAGGATATCCATCACCTCAAGCATTTATTATGTTTTTGTGTTGGGAATGTTCAATATCCTCCTTCCAGCTATTTGAAACCATATATATATATATATATATATATATATATATATATATATATATACACACACACACACACACACATACTTTTTTATATATTATGTATATATTTTGTATAATATGTATATATATACACACATTCTTTTTCATCAGACAACCAATTTCTTTTTTTTAAAGTCAACTTTTATTTTAAGTTCAGGGGCACATGTGCCAGTTTGTTACACAGGTAAACTTGTGTCATGGGGGTTTGTTGTACAGATTATTTTATTACTCAGGTATTAAGCCTAGGACTCATTAGTTAATTTTCCTGATCCTCTCCCTTCTCCCACCCTCTACTCTCTGATAGGCCCCAGTGTGTGTTGTTCCCCTCTATGTGCCCATGTGTTCTCATCATTTAGCTCCCACTTACAAGTGAGAACATGCAGTATTTGGTTTTCTGTTCCTGCATTAGTGAAACTGTATATTATTGTTAAATATAGTCATCCTACAGTGCTATAGAACACTAGAATTGACTCCTTCTATCTAGCTGTAATTTTGTACCCCTTAACAACTCTCTATCTTCCTCCTACCCTTCCCTGCAGCTAGTATCCTCTGTTCTACTTTTCACTTCTATGAGATCAGCTACTTTTAGCTTCCACATATGAGTAAGAACATGTGGTGCTTAGCTTTCTGTTCCTGGCTTATTTCACTTAATGTCCTCCAGTTCCATCCCTGTTGCTGTTGATGACAGGATTCCATTCTTTTTATGGCTGAATAGTATTCCATTGTGTATATATACCACATTTGCTTTATCCATTCATCTGTTGTTGGACACCTAGGTTGATGCCTTATCTTGGCTACTGTGAATAGTGCTACAATAAACATGGGGATACAGATGTCTCTTCAATATAATGATTTCCTTTCCTTTGGATGAATTCCCAGTAGTGAGATTGTTGGATCACATGTTGGTTCTATTTGTAGGTTGTTGAGGAACCTCAATATTGTTCTCCGCAGTGGCTGTACTAGCTTACATGTCCACCAATATTGCCATTCTTTCTTTAAATAAAGTAGTACAGTCAAGTTGCTTTCTATGGAGTCTGGCTGGCCTCAGAGCCATTCTTTCTTGTCTACATGATTTTACATATCTATATAGCTCTTAAAATTTAGTTTCTAAATGGCAGTCTTATTTTACTCATCCTAATTCTCTGGTGAGGTGGGCACCTCCTTGTGGCTCCCAAATAAATAGAAATTGATGGTTTCCAACTGAGACCATTTGCTCATTAACATTCATTATTTCAATAAAGCACACGTTATGATCCAGGCATTAGGCATAAACAAGTTTGATCTAAGGAAGTGAATGAGAAAACAGGGGAGAAGCACATTCCTAGCAGAGAGAACACCAAAGTAAATGTACAGAATTGTTTATGGCAAGTTAAGATGTGATTTAAAAAAATCTGGAGTCACTGATGCATGGAAAAAGAGAAAGAGGAAGGGAAAATGGTAAGAGAAGAGATTGGAAAGGTGAGCTGGGATCCAATGGGAAGATCTCTGAATAACAGACTAAGGAGAGTAGTCTTCATTTTTCTTGAGAGCTTTCCCAGCACTAGGTTTTCATACATGATATATTATACATAGCATAAATGTTTTTGAGATGGATATTATAAACTCTCTCCCCCTTAAAAATAGATGTAAAAAATAAAGAAGAGCAAATGAAGCATAAGAAAGCTAAGTTAATTACTCTAGTTAGAAATCCAAGAAATGGCAGGGCCTAGGTTTCATTTCAGTTCAATGACAAGGCACTGAAAGTTTTAAGCAGTGGAATAACATTCATGAATATGACCTTATCTGCTCAAAATAAAATAGGCAAGGGAAATGCTATGTTCTCTGTTTGATCTCAATACTTAAAGAACTCAAGAGCCTCCCAGTCACTTCCTAATGGCTTGTTTTCCTAGTTCTGTTATTTTGAGAGAGCCACATTTAGTAGAGTTCATTCTTATTCTCCCAAAGTTTCCTCATGAAGATATAGATCAGAGTGATAAAGATTACTATTTAAGTTTTTCCAAAACAAACAAAAAACTGCAGTGGTGATTTTGGAGAAACTCTAGAAATATTGATTTCCAAAAATGGAAGGTTATACTGAAGTCTTTAACAAACATGGTTTAGTGCACAGCAGAATCATTCAGCCTGGAAGCTGCAGATATTGCCACAAAGCACTAGACACTGTGGCTTGTACTGCTGATCCCACTGGCAATAACTCTAGATGCTGCCAATAACATTGGAACTACTCGTGCCTCTAATCTCCAGCTGTCACTGCTGCCAGAGGCCTTTCTCCATAGGCCCTGGTTTGTTGTATCACAAGTTCTTAATTCTCTATTTGAAGAAGAGCCTATACCAAGTGCCCACGTGCTAGTTACAAGTTAATTTAGAAAGATAGCATCTTCCATTTTTGGCGTCTATATCACAAGGTATATTTTGTCTCATGTGCAAACATGTAAAGGGATAATATATGCACCATATGTAAAAAAAAAGTTCTGATGCTGAGTGAGCAAAAAGATTAAAAAATGTTCCACTGATGAAGTGAAGAAACATGTCCATGCCAGAAGGAGAAGCAGCATTTAATGATGTGGGAATGGCGGGGGGGAGGTGTGATCTGTGTTGAGGAAGATGGGAGGCATAACACTCATCCCAAGGGGAGTGTGTAAAACACCAAGGGATTCTCACAGAGAATAGAGGAGCCTTGAAATGCAAGGGAACTGACATTTATTGCATAGGCACTATGCCACAGGTCCTGTGCGAGATGTCTCACCTTAGGCCAGTGCTCCAGGAATTTCACTGATGGGTCCCGGAGACACAGATTCATGATTTTTATGTATACTTTGCCAGGGTGCTGTGAAAAATGGGAGGATATCCTTTTATATACAGTTAGGGCATTCTAAAATTGAGCTTCATAGGGAGAGGTTTCCCTAACCCCCCTAAAATTATTGATCTATGTAAATAGAGAATCCATGATTTTCATGAGATTTTCAAAGGAGTCCATGAGTGTGCTGCTGGAATCTATTCAGCTGAATAAAGGAATGACATTTACAATCATAAGATCTGTCTAGACCTTGTTCTGTTAAATTTTTGTTTTCCTGAAAAACCCAAGTCAATGCTGATCTTAAAGAGTTAGAAGTATACTGTGATCCATATTTCATGTGTCACTTACTAGGGTTAGTAGATAAAGCTATGTATAAAGGAAAATAGTGTATCATAAAATATCTTTCTGATCAAATAAACACAAAATTTAAGCTTCTGAAGAGTTAAAAGGCATAATGAAAATATCCTCAAAATAAAATTATAAATAATATCATTTATTTATATTCCAAGTATATTTAGATTATGAGTTTTATGAAGATGTTGCTGAGACTGACAATTTCCACAATATCTATTCTCTTCTTCTTTGTATTAGAAATAGAAATCTTTGGTTTTCAGTTAGGTATACGACTGCCTAGATGGAAATTCCAATTTCCTAGCCTTCCTTGCATCAAGGAATACAAATATGGCTAAGTCCTGGCCAGTGAAATGTGAGCAGAAGTGATGTGTTATGCCTTCTTCCTTTTCTCTCTTCCCATTGACTGTAAATTGCCAACTATTGAAATAACCTTTTTGTACCAAAAGATATTTTTCTTCTTGGTTGTTTCATGAGGGAGAAACAAACTTCAACATTATTTGATGCACTGTATTTTAGGATCTCCTTATTACAGAAGCTTAATCTATATCCTTACTAATATCTATGTAGTATACAAAAAATACACAAAAGAATCAGTTAAAATGAACAAAATATTTAGACTTTGCAAATCTGGGTAATGAATGCCCCAGCATATAAACTATTCCATGGGAATAAATTGAAGTTACACCATTTTAAGAACCTGTTAGATTACATTTAAAAGGTAGAAAGATCTCAAATTAACAACCTAACATTGCACCTCAAGAAACTAGAAAAATAAGAGCAATCCAAACCTCAAGCTAGCAGAAAGAAATAAATAACAAAAATCAGAGTATAACAAAATGAAATTGAGAAAAAAAGTTATATAAAGGATCAACAAAACAAAAAGTTGGTTTTTTGAAAGAATAAAAAATTGACAGACCGCTAGCTAGATTAACCAAGAAAAAATGAGGAGATTCAAATAAGCACAATCAGAAATGAGAAAGGTGACATTACAACTGATAAAATAGAAATACAAACGATTGTCAGAGACTACTGTGACATACACCACTATGTGCACAAACTGGAAAACCTAGAGGAAATGGATAAATTCCTGAAAACATACAACACCCCAAGATTGAACAAGGAAGAATTAGAAGTCCTGAATAAACCAATAATGAGTAATGAAATTGAACCAGTAATAAAAAATCTTCCAACAAGCCTAGGACCAGATGGACTCACCACCAAATTTTACCAGATATATAAAAAAGACCTGGTATGAGTCTTACTGAAATTGTTCCAAAAAGTCAAGGAGGAGGAATTTCTCCCTCATTCTATGAAACCAGCATCACCCTGATACCAAATCAGGCAAGGACACCACAGAAAAGGAAAACTACAGGTCCATATCCCTGATGAACATAGATGCAAAAATCCTCAACAAAATACTAGCAAACCAAAGTCAACACCACATCAAAAAGATAATTCACCACAATTGAGTGGGTTTTATTCCAGGAATGCAAGGACGGTTCAGCAACTGCAAATCAATAAATGTGATTTACCACATAAAAGTAAGTAAAAAGACAAACCATATGATCAACTCAATAGCTGCTGAAAAAAAAGGCATTCGATAAAACCCAACATCCTTTTATGATAAAAACCCTCAACAAACTAGCATCAAAAAAAAATACCTCAAAAGAATAGGAACCATAGAGCCATATATGACAAAATCACATCCAACATCATACTGAATGGGAAAAAGATGAAAGCATTCCCTCTAAGAACTGGAATAAGACAAGGATGTCCACTTTCACAACTCCTTTTAAACACAGTACTAGAAGTACTAGCCAGAGCATAAAATCAGGTAAGAGAAAGAAATGAAAAATATGCAAATTGGAAAAGAGGTAGTAAAATTATCTCTGTTTACTGATGACATATCATATACCTAGAAAACCCTAAAAACTCCTCCAAATGACTCTGAGACTTAAGCAACTTCAGTAAAGTTTCAGGATACAAAATCAACATACAAATACCAGTAACATTTTTATACCAATAATATTCAAGCTGAGAACCAATCAAAAACCTGATCCCATTTACAATAGCTACAAAAAATTAAAAGACCTAGGAATACATTTAACCAAGGCAGTGAAAGATCTCTATAAACACAACTACAAAACCTAATGAAAGAAATCACAAATGACACAAATAAATGGAAAAATATCCCATGCTCATGGACGGGAAAAATCAATACTGTTAAAATCGCCATACTAATCAAAGCAATCTGTAGATTCAACACAATCCTTATCAAATTACTAAAGTCATTTTTTTCACAGAATTCGAAAAACAATCCTAAAGTTCATATGGAATCAAAAAAGGCTGACTAGCCAAAGCCATCCTAAGCAAAAAGAACATAGCTGGAGGTATCACTGTGTTAGTCCATTTTCATGCTGCTGATAAAGACATACCCAAGACTGGGCAATTTACAAAAGAAAGAGGTTTAACAAACTTACATTTCCACATGGCTGGGAGGCATCACAATCATGACGGAAGGCAAGGAGGAGCAAGTCACATTTTACATGAATGGCAGCAGACAAAGAGAGAGAGCTTGTGCAGGGAAACTCCCCCTTATAAAACTGAGACTCCATCTAAAAAAAAAAAAAAATCAGATTTTATGAGACTTATTCACTATCATGAAAACAGCATGGGAAAGAACTACCCCCATGATTCAATTACCTCCCACTGGGTCCCTCCCTCAACATTTAGGAATTCAAGAACAGATTTGGGTAGGGACACAACCAAACCATATCATTTTAACCCTGGCACCTCCCAAATCTCATGTTTTCACATTTCAAAACCAATCATGCCTTCCCAACAGTCCCCCAAAGTCTTAATTCATTTCAGCATTAACTCAATAGTCTACAGTCCAAAGTGTCATCCAAGACAAGGCAAATCCCTTCTGCCTATGAACCCATAAAATCAAAAGCAAGTTAGTTACTTCCTTGATACAATTGGGGGTACAGGCATTGGGTAAATATAGCCATTCCAAATGGGAGAAGTTGGCTAAAACAAAGGTGCTACAGGCCTCATGCCAGTCTGAAATCCAGGGGGGCAGTTAAATCTTAGAGCTCCAAAATGATCTCCTTTGACTCCATTCTCACATCCTGGTCATGCTGATGCAGGAAGTGGGCTCCCACAGCCTTGGACAGCTCTGCCTTGTGGCTTTGCAGGGTACAGCCTCCCTCCCAGCTGCTTTCACGGGCTGACATTTTGTCTGTAGCTTTTCCAGCCACATGGTGCAAGCTGTCAGTGGATCTACCATTCTGGGGTCTGGAGGACAGTGGCCTCCTTCCCACAACTCCACTAAACTGTGCCCCAGTAGGGACTCTGTGTGGGGGCTCCAAACCCACATTTCCCTTCCACACTACCTTAGCAGAGGTTCTCCATGGGGGCCCCACCCCTGCAGCAAACTTCTGCCTGGGCATCCAGGAATTTATGTACATCCTTTAAAATCTACACAGAGGTTCCCAAACCTCAATTCTTGACTTCTGTGAAGTAACAACCCAAGCTGTACCTTGGCCCCTTTTAGTCTTGCTGGAGCAGCTGGGATGCAGGGCTCCTAGTCTCTAGACTGTACACAGCAGAGGGACCCTGGACCTGGCCCACAAAACCATTTTTTCCTGCTAAACCTCTGGGCCTGTGATGGGAGGGGCTGCCATGAAGAACTCTGAAATGCCCTAGAGACATTTTCCCCATTGCCCTGGTGATTAACATTGGGCTCCTCATTACTCATGTAATTTTCTGCAGCTGGCTTAAATTTCTCCTCAGAAAATGGGATTTTCTTTTCTATCACATTGTCAGGCTGCAAATTTTCCGAACATTTATGCCCTGTTTCCCTTTTAAAACTAAATGCCTTTGGCACCCAAGTCACCTCTTGAATGCTTTGCTACTTAGAAATTTCTTCTGCCAGATACCCTAAATCATCTCTCTCAAGTTCAAGGTTCCACAAATCTCTAGGGCAGGGGCAAAATGCAACCAGTCTCTTTGTTAATACACAACAAGAGTCACCTTTGCTCCAGGTCCCAACAAGTTTCTCATTTTTATCTGAGACCACATCAGCCTGGATTTCATTATCCATATAATTATTAACATTTTGGTCAAAGCCATTCAACAAGTCTCTAGGGAGTTCCAAACTTTCTCACATTTTCCTGTATTCTTCTAAGCCCTCCAAATTATTCCAACCTCTGCCTGTTACCCAGTTCCAAAGTTGCTTCCACATTTTCAGGTATCTTTTCAGCAGTGCCCCATTCTACTGGTACTAATTTACTATACCATTTTCATGTTGCTGATGAAGACATACTCAAGACTGGGCAATTTATAAAATGAGGAGGTTTAATGGACTTACAGTTCCACATGGCTGGGGAGGCCTCACAAACACGGTGGAAGGCAAGGAGGAGCAAGTCATGTCTTACGTGGAAGGTGGAAGACAAAGAGGGAGAGCTTGTGCAGGGAAACTCCCCCTTATAAAACCATCAGATCTCATGAGACTTATTCACTATCATGAGAACAGCATGGGAAAGACCTGCCCCCATGATTCAATTACCTCCCCACTGGGTCCCTTGAACAACATGTAGGAATTCAAGATGAGATTTTGGTGGGTACACAGCCAAAACATATCAATCACATTGCCTGACATCAAATTATACTACAAGACTATAGTAACTAAAACAGCATGGTATTGGAAAAAAAAACAACACATAGATCAATGGAACAGAGTAGAGAATCCAGAAATAAAGCCACATACCTACAACCAACTGATATTTGACAAAGCTGACCAAAATAAACAATAGGGAAAGGACACTCTATTCAATAAATAATACTGGAGAAATTGGCTAGCTATATGCAGAAGAATGAAACTGGATCCCTATCTCTCATCATATATAAAAATCAACTCAAGATATATTAACAACTTAAGAGTAAGATCTGGGCAAGGCACAGTGGCTCATGTCTGTAATCCCAGCACTTTGGGAGGCTGAGGCAGGTGGATCACAAGGTCAGGAGATCAAGACCATCCTGGTCAACATGGTGAAACCCTGTCTCTACCAAAAATACAAAAATTAGCTAGGCGTGGTGGCATGTGCCTTTAATCCCAGCTACTTGGTAGGCTGAGGCAGGAGAATCGCTTGAACCAGGGAGTCGGAGGTTGCAGTGAGCCAAGATGGCTCTACTGCACTCCAGCCTGGTGACAGAGTGAGACTCCGTCTCCAGGGAAAAAAAAAAAAAAAGTAAGTTTTGGGAAACTGTAAACATCCTAGAAGAAAATCTAGAAAAAATTCTTCCAGACATTGACCTAGGCAAAGATTTTATGATGAAGTACCCAAAAGCAAATATAACAAAACCAAAAACAGACAAATAGTACTTAATTAAACTAAAAAGCTTCTGCACAGCAAAAGAAATAAACAATAAAGAGACAACTTACATCATGGGACAGAATAATTGCCACTGACAAAAAATTAATATCTAAACTCTATAAGGAACTTAAACAACTTAAGAAAAAAGCAAACAACTCAATTAAAAACTGAGCAAAGGACATGAATAATCTTATCAGTAGAACTGATAATAGGATAATGGGAAGGGTGACTTCATATGAAATTGTCTGGGCTACAGCTTGCAATGCGCTGATTAGTCCATAATTTGACTTAGATGCTCATCCTGATCATAGAATAGAGTGGCCAAAAGACACAAGAAAAAATGCTCAACATCACTAATTATCAAATGCAAATTAAAACTACAATGAGTTATCTTACGTCAGTCAGAATGGTTATTATTAAAACAATTTTTAAAACCACAAATGTTGGCATGGATGCAGAGAAAAGGAAATGCTCATACACTGTAGGTGGGAATATAAATTAGTTCAATCTCCATGGAAAACGGTAGAAGTATGTCCCAAGGAACTAAAAATAAAACTACAATTTGACCTAGTAATCCCATTACTGGGTATCTACCCAAAGGAAAAAAAAATCATTATACAAAAAAGACACCTGTACTTACGTTCACCATGGTACTATTCACAATAGCAAAGTCATGGAATCAACCTAAGTGTCCATCAGCAATTGACTGGATAAGGAAAATATGGTATCTATACACCATGGAATATTATGCAGCCATAAAAAATAAAATTATGTCCTTTGCAGCAACATGGATGGAGCTGGAAGGCATTATCCTAATCAAACTAACTCGAAAACAGAAAAGCAAATACCACATGTCCTCAATTATAAATGGAAGCTAAGCAATGGGTACACATGGACATAAAGATGGAAGTAATAGACACCGAGGACATCAAAAGTGTGGTGAGTGGGAGAGAGTGAGATCGAAAAGTTACCCATTTGGTACAATGTTTACTATTTGGATAATGGGCACACTAGAAGCCCAGATCCCCACCAGTGCACAATTTACCCATGTAACAAACATGCATGTGTCCCCCACACCCGCGAATCTAAAATAAAATGTAAATTAAAAAAACAACCTGCTAGATACTATTTGGTAAACTGCTACATCAGAAACTATAATTATTGGTCAGAATTTTAAATTGGGACATTAATTATGCAAGTACAGTTTGCAAATCTGTCCGTTATAAATGAATGTCGTGAAAATGAGTTAAGAATGTAAGTTTGCTCCTATTCCATTGTAGTCTGCCTACTAGTACTAGTTCTCAGCCCTGGATGCACATCACCTGAGGAGCTTTTAAAGAATGTTATTGTCTTGGCTCCATCCTAGAGATTCTCATTTAACTGTTCTGAGATTAGGCCTCTGCAGTGGTACTTTTAAATTCTAAAGTGCAGTCAGCATTACTTCTGGAAACTTTTGGTCATTCTTGGGTCCCAGGCATATATCAATATTGGAGATAGAATGTTAAACAAACTCTCATCCATTTCTTATGATGGGTTAAATTTTTAGCTCAGTCACATAGACTCTCCTGCTTCTTCTTCCAACACATTAATAGGCCCAACATTTCAGTAACTGGCACTTGTAGCTTTGATCAGCTCACAGATAGTGACTAGCAAAGGTATAACCAGCCATCTGAAAAAAATGTAAGAATAGTTTTTGATAAACTGCACATCCCAAGGTCAATTATAATGTAATGTCTCTGAGTTTCACTCTCACTGGCTTTCCATTAGCATCTACCTCGTCATCAAAAGAAATCTCACCTAAGTGTGTGAATGGTTTCCCTCTGTCCTTGTACCACAATACAACAGATGGAAGAAATTACAGCAGGAAAAATAGCTACAGACCGGAGGTCTCATGGTCAGACACATGAAACAGAAAGTCTGGCCTTCTCTTTTCAGCACAGATCATAACTATTATTTTAAGCAACAAAATGCAAATGTAGAGTTTGCTCAGAGGCCTCGTTGTGTAACTGATATGAAAGAGACCGCTACCATCCTTTTATGCAACACAAGCTATCCTTTATAAATTGTAGGTCTAGCAGATTGGCTGGAAGTCCCCCGTGGGGAGGAAGGAAGCACGCTGGAAGCTGGCCTGACTAGCGGAGGGAGGGTGGGGAGTCTGAATGGGTCATGGTCATTGGGCTCACATCCACTCCCACCCCAAGTAGAACTTCAACCCTCCCTCATCTCCTTCCCGGGTTAGGTGTTTCCCCTCTTAAATCATGCTTCCCCTCCAATCCCAGGAAATATCAAAAGAGAGTAATACATAGGGAATTTACATAGATGCAGAAAGGACGAGCTTTGCTATGTTTTAAAATGAAGACAATATCAGTAAGAGAAAGTTTTTGTTTGTCTTTTAGATATTTCACTCTGAGGATGGACCTCAAAGGATCACTGTCCTTTGTCTTTCCCTATGCAGGACTTAAGGGATGTGAATTACTCTCCCCACTTTTCTCTCCTCTAGCTTCACCAAGGGGTAAATTTGATGGAACCAAATGACCCTGAGGGATAAGAAAGGAGTAAAATAAGAAGGCATGAAAGGAGAGAAGAGAAGAAAGAGGAAGACACAGAAGGGAGACCAGAGACATCCTTATGTCCATGGGAACTGGATACCACGTGGATTAATAATTGTCTGAGTGCCAAAGTAAAGAACTGTTTTCACTGTCCTCTGGAGATTGTATATGTGCTTGATGCTGCAATGTTACGATTTTCTATCTGGGAGTGGACTGTACCTTCCCGACTTTTCAAATGCAGTATTAAGGACAGTAGTGAACACAGGGAGAGGTTCAACAGCAAGCCTGAAGGTTTATGGCAAATTGAAATCTAATCCACATGAGGTCAGTGGCCTAGAGAAGATTCTATAGAAGGAAGTGGGACAGGGTGCTTCAGACCTTGGCCAAAACTAGATTAATATGGTTAGGATTATGACACATGGCAAAGGTACCATAAGGAACATGCAAATGCTTTAACATGAAGAGTTCCATAAGGAGAAACACAGCTTGACTTCCTGGGGCCCCATTCCATAAGCATGCATATTTTTCCACAGTTGCAATATTACAGCAATTTTATTTTCCTCATTTAACTTACATATTCTTAGATTTTTACAGTTTTCAAGGTATCATACATTACTTAATTACTTGTCCATCTTTCTTCTCTTTTTTTTTGGTATTAGTAACGAAGCAATGAACAACTTTAGGCAAATATAATTTTGCTACTTAAAACCCTAGATTGCCTCTTGTAAATTGACTAAAGAAAAGAGCATCCATTACCAAGAGTAACACTGAACAACTTTTCCCTCTAGCAAGATGCCTTTTAATTTAATTACATTTATTCTTCCACCCAGTTTGAATGGAGAATCACAAAATCATATGTGCCTTAACCCCCATCTATCGCAAAACACATAGGCTATAGTTTCTTGATTTAATGCTGGTGATTTAATGGCACCAATTGAGCGTTAAAATGTAAATTACTCAAAGACAACAGCAATTCCTAAATTGCAGCCTTTCCAGAGTTCAAGTCTAAGAGTTATAATTTAACAATACCGTTATGACATAAACTATAAAAATTATCATTAAACACAACTGGAACTTGTTTATATTTCTCTTAAAAAAAACAGGGTTTTTAAATATACCTTTAAACCCTGAAATCCAAGAATATTTGAATAAAGATAATCCAATTCTGTAATTTTTCTAACTCCCAGCAGGTGGCGATGTTGCTCGCTGGTGTGGTCTCTGAGGGGCTAGAAGTCTCATTGAGAGCACAGGCGGATGGTCAACCTCGGACAAGATGAAACATGGGCAGTTCTTGCATAAGAGAGATGCAGTCTTTTGTTAACCACTAAAAACTTCTAAAACTATTTATTAAACTGAGTTAGCTTCACTTTGTAAAACTAACTTTTCCCCTACGTCGCCCCCTCCCTACAACTGCGCATAGATTCCCTTTGATTATTCAAAAAGTTTAATTCATTAATCTGAAAGTTAAGAGCTTTCACCCACTGATTCCAATTTATCTGTCTGTCAGTGGTGAAAGAGTTAAGAACATGACGTCACAATATGCTGCTCTGGAATACTGATTATTTGGAGTTGAAGGCACTTGGAAAACAGCAGGTGCAAGAAGGTCACGCTGACTTTCCTTCTGTTTCTTAACAGCAGGCGATGGAAGTCCCATGTGAAAGATGTCCTTCTTATTCCAGAGGGAAAGTTCCATTCTAATCAGCAGGGGGAAGCTGAAGCTTAGGGGAATCTGTGCAAACAAACCTTATTAAATTAACCCTTATCTTCCTAGTCACATATCCGCTTACTTAACTCCCCTAGCCCAAACCCCTTGGCCTTGTCACATTTTCACAATTTACTGCTCTTTGTCCAATTCACTATCTAAATCTTCAACTGTAACTGCATCTTGGGGTCTTCATTTTTTATGAGGGCTCTTGCGCCATGCAAAACTTGTATTAAAGAAATGTGTATACTTTTCTCCAAGTAGTCTGTCTTACACCAATTTCAGTCTCAGGCGCAGCCAAAAATCTCTAAGTGAGTAGGGGTAAATTTGGCCTCTCCTGCAGTGGCATAGAGGATGGATACAAATAGGGAACGACAGGAAGCAGGGAGAACAATTAGGAGATTCCCGCAGTGTTTTAGTTAGAGCTATTTAAATTACTGAAATTTAAAAAGGAGTTCATTATAAAGAATTGGAATGCAGCAGGCCCGAGGAATAATATCAACAGGAAAGGTGACCACTATCAGACCTCTGCCTCTAATTTCTGTCTTTGCTCTTATCTATGTATTTGTTTCCTTCTCTCTCTTGAAGACAGGCACTTTCTCTCTCTCTTTCTATTTTTTTAGACGGAGTTTCGCTCTTGTTGCCCAGGCTGGAGTGCAGTGGCACAATCTCGGCTCACTCCCACCCCACCTCCCGGGTTCAAACGATTCTCCTGCCTCAGCCTCTTGAGTAGCTGGAATTACAGGCATGTGCCACCACATCTGGCTAATTTTTCTGAATTTTTAGTAGAGACGGGGTTTCTCCATGTTGATCAGGCTGGTCTCGAACTCCCAACCTCAAGTGATCTGCCTGCCTCGGCCTCCCAAAGTGCTGGGATTACAGGCATGAGCCACTGCACTCGGCCTCTTTTTTTGGTACACACGGGGAGAATATGACCATCAACCCAGATTCTACATTTTCCATCATCACAGAAACGGATTATTTTGTTAGTCTTAGGGAAGGATTTTGATTAGCCTAATTCGGACTGATCATTTGTGACCAGTGGAATACGATCAAGTTGTTCAAAATGGTTGTGTCCTAACCATGCAGATGGGAGAAGCAGGTCAGTTCCTGGAAGATGAGGCTGGGATTGCAAAGACTTGACAATGTGCCCCGTACATATTGAGGCCTAGATGTGAAGTAATGCTGTACTGTGCCACGGTGATGTTGAAGGAACAATAAAAAGAGGACATACATAGGAGACATTTGGGGGAAAGAATTTGTACAACATGGAGAATGATTAGATAAAAGGTGAAAGAAAGCATCAAAGAACTCCAAATACTATAAATCAAAACAAGAAAAGGGAAAAGGTGGAACCATGAGGGGATGACATGAATGCAATCGAGTGATTTGAAGATGCAGATGGTTTTGAACTGGCTTAGAACGTCCACCAGGATTTTTGTGGCAGATCGTAATATAGGTCAAGAAGGATTTAAATTTAGTTCTTATATTCTCAAATTAATAACTCAATGAATTGCTTTAAGTTTTGAAAATTTACTTTCATAAGAGTCAGATCTGAACTGGCTTCTCTATTTCGGCAGAAGCACCATCATGAATCTCAGAACCTTTAAAAAGACACCCAAGAGTAGCAATTTTCTTTCTGAGAGTACGGATTCTATTTCTGACATGTAATTTTCCTTATACCCAACACCAAAAATGGGGACTTGAATCATAAACATATTTAACACTCAGAGGAGACATTAGTAGGATCCTTTTAAATATTGAAAACATAATGAAATCAGGATCCCAGTCCAAATAATGTGCCTTTTCTTAAAAGGCAAAAACAGTGTGGGAGACTAAATCCAGGAGTTCTTGATTCAAGTCTAATTTGGGCTCCATTTAACTAGGACCTCTGTATTATTTTTATTTGATTAAAGAAATGTTATCCATATTACTCAGACTAGACAACCAATAAGAAATAGAAAAGGATTATAACTAGACGGAATGTATAGGTACACTACATGCTCTTTTTACTCTTCTAAAATCCAGAGGATTGATGATATTGTCACTGTTGCATTAAAACATCTGTGATTTGGGAGAACAAAGGCAAATTTTGACTAGCCTAATTTGGGTGGATCATCTGCGACCAGTGGAATGTGATCAAGTTGTTCAAAATGGATGTGTCCTAACCATGCAGATGGGAGAAGCAGGTTGGTTTCTGGGAGATAAAGCTGGGGCTGCACAGACCTGATATTGTGCCTGGTAATTATTGAGGCCTAGACATGAGGTAATGCTGTCCTGTGCCATGGAACCTAAAGAACTTAATCCAATGCCCTATCCCACTAGATAGGCACTGAGCTATCTTGGGCAGCTGACTTGCTTCTATATCACAATTTGCTATTTCACAGTCTAAAATCAGTATCTACACTGAGGAATCTTGGCTGATCTGTGGCAAAGGCTACTCATTTACCTATTCCTTAAACACTGAGTTTATTTAGTGCTCATTTAAAGCAAGTTTGGGGAGGGCTTGTCTCCTTCATGCCTCCACTCCTTTTGTTCAAAATCCTTTTCTTTTTCTCCTTCACTTTTTCATTCCTCTGGGTTGTCTTGTATCCTAGTCTGCTCCCATACAGGTGAAATTACTGACTTATATCCTGATCAATTTCCCCACTTTTCCTTTAAACTTCTCTTCCACCTCCTACTCAATTCTTGCCCATTCTATACAATGTATTTATTTTGTTATTGTCATGGTAAATACTCAGGGACAGGGAAAGTTTTAGTTATTTGAAGGGGACTGTGTACTTGAGAAACAGAAGTGTAAAATCTGTGAGTGTATTAGTCATCTGTTGCTGTGTAACAAATTATCCCAAAACTTAGTGGTTTACAAAAAAAAAATTTTATTATCTCACAGTTCCTATGGGTCAGGAACCTGGCCTTGGCTTAGCTGGGTCCCCTGCTTTAGGGCCTTTCATAGGCTGCAATCAAGGTGTCAACTGGGTCTACAGTCATCTCAGGTCTCAACCGGGGAAGCATCTGCTTCCAAGCTCACTCATATGGTTGTTAGTTGGATTCTGTTCCTCCCACCGAAGGCCACAGTTCCTTGCTGGCTGTTGGCTGGAGGCCACCCTCAATTCTTTGCCACATGGCCTCTCCATGGGGCAGCTCAGAACAAGGAAGTCAATTTCCACTGGAGGGAGAAAGCAAGAGAGTGAGCAAGACAAGTCATAGTCTTCCATAATCTAATCTCAGAAGTGACATCTCATCTTTTTGCTGTATTCTGTTCGTTGATAGCAAGTTTTTAGATCCAGCTTACACTTAAGAGGAGGGGATTACACAAAGCCATGACTATCAGGAAGTGAGGATCACGGGAGGCTATCTTTGAATTTTGCCCCACACCTAGCACATGCTATATAGTAAATAAAAGAAAGAATGTTACAATCCTAGTGGGGTATTTGAGAGATTATGTTCAGCTGCATTTTTTCCTATTTGCATACCTACGTTTGTGTGTGGCTATGTGTCTATGTTTGGGTGCTTAGAGAAGAGTAGTTTGTGTTCAGCCAGCAGGAGAGAGCAAATAACAACCATTCCAAATCATATGCCCTCTCATGAGTTTCCCTTATCACCTGAGCCCAGGATCTCCGCTCTTCTTCTTACATCTCTGCTCTTCTCCCAACTCTCAGGAAATGACTTTTTCTTCCATTTTGCAAAGAAAATAGAAACCAGTGAGCACAATCTCCCTGATCACTCAATGCTCACATCTACAAACATCTCCAACTCCCTCCATCTTTATCCTTACTGTGTCCTGATTTAAGGACTGCCTGTATTCTGTCCAGGCAGCACCATCTACCTGTGCACTGGGGCCCAAATTCTTCTACCTTCTCAGGGCCACAATTCATCATTATTTTTCTTTAAAAAGACAGGAAGTAAACATTTCTTCTGCCCTGAATAATCCTTTGGTTAGTATCTTCTCTCATTCCATCCCTTTACAACCAAGCTTTCTGAAGGAATCATTTGTTTTTTCTTTTTCTTTTTTCGTTTCCCTTTTTTTTTTTTCTTGAGAAAGGGTCTCACTCTGTTGCCCACGCTGAAGTGCAGTAGTGTGAACATAGCTCACTGTAACCTCGATATCCTGGGCTCAGGTGATCCTCCCACCTCAGTTTCCCAAATAGCTGGGACTACAGGCATGTGTCACCATGCCAGGCTAAATTTTTCGGGTTTTGTTTTTGTTTTTTGTTTTTTTTCTGTAGGGGTGGGGTTTCACTATATGGCCCAGGTTGATCTCGAACTACTGGGCTCAAGTGATCTGCCCACTTTGGCCTCCTCAAATGCTAGAATGACAGGCATAAGACACTGTGCCTGGCTTTTTTTTCAACTTCCATTCATTCTTCAACCCACTGCAATATGGTTTGTAGCCATCTCTCATCTGTAGCAATAACAACAACGCAGCTCCTTCTCCTGCACCCACTCCTCCACCAACTGATCTTCATTTATTTGCTCCTCTTTGCAACAAAACTCCTCAGTATTTCAAATGTCTCTTTTAAACTCATCTTTCTCAGTGGGTTGCCTCTACTGTTTCACTGAAATGCTGTTGTCAAAGTCCTCAATGACATTGTTAAATTCAATGGTCAATTCTCATTCCACAGCCTACTTGACTTAATGGCAGGATTTGGTGTGGTTGATCAGTAGCCTCCTCTTGCTGCATTTTCGTCACTTGATTTTGAGGATAACACATGCACTTGATTTTTCCTCTACCTCATTGGCCACTCTTTCAGTGACTTGTTTTCTCCATCTCTTAATATTGGAGGGCCCCAGGGTTCGGTCTTTAGTCCTCTTCTCTTCCATTTGATGAACTCAACCTGTCTTATGGCTTTAAATACCATGAAGCAAGCATAGACTCTATATTTGTGTACCAACTACCTATTCCACCAGGATATTTAACAGAATGTCAATCTTCCTATGTCCTAAACTGAACTCCTGATTTCTCCCCTATCCAGACTTGTTCTATCCATTATCTCCCCACCTCAGCCAATAACATCTGCATTGTTCCAGTTTCTCAGGCCAAAAATAGTGGCTCCTCTCTTCATCTCATACCCTGTTCTGATGTGAGCTACTTGTTCTTTATGGACTTGCTTATGCGTGGTTTCATACATCATCTCCATCAGAAAACTCTGCTGGCACTATCTTGAGAAAATATCTAGAAGCTGCTCTGTCCTCAGCACCTTGGCTACCTGGTCTGACCAGCATCTCTTGCCTAGAGGGTTGTAAGAGCATCTTATTTAGCACCCTCCTTCCACCCTTGCCCTAATATGTCCTCTCCCACACCCGACAGTCTATTCTCCTTCCTGTAGACAGAGTGAGTCTTTAAAACAGGAGTCAGGTCATGTCAGTCTTCTTGTCAAAACCCTCCAGTGGACTCACCATTTCACAGAAAGTGAAAATCAAAGTTCCTACAACAGCTCACAAGGTCTTAGATGAGCAGAATCCTCTGACCCCAACTCCATTGCTTTTTCCTTGCTCACCCTCCTCCAGCCTCACTGGCCTCCTCCATATTTTTGAAACATGCCAGGGATATCTGCAGCCTTTCCAGGAGCCACTTCTTCCCCCTGAAATCTCTTCCCCAGCTATCCTCATGGCTCACTCTTTCTTGTCTTTCATGTGTTTGCCTGAAGGTCACCTTGCCAATGATGTTGACTCAAGTCATCCTCCTCCATGCCCTCCTTTCGCCAACCCTTCCTTTTTACCCCATTTTTTTCCCATAACACTTTTATCTTCAAAGTGAAATCAAATTTACTGTTTACTTATTGAATATGTTTATTTGTTATTGCCTAGAGTGTAAGCTTCATGTTGAAAGGGATTTTTGTCTGTTTTCTTCATTGCTATATCTCTAGCTCTTATAAGAGTGCCTCAGAGTAGGTGTGCTTTATTAAACATGGTTAACAAAAATTGAATTTCCAAAGCCCATTGACTCATTTTATTTTCAATTTTACTACTTAGCATTTAATGCTATAGAACTCTTCTTCTTTTATAATATTTTTCTCTCTCCTTCTTCCCTGGTACCTTGTTCTCTTCCTGCCTGACCTGTCCTGACCGGTTTCTTTTTGTTTCTTTATTTTGAGATGGAGTCTTGCTCTGTCACCCAGGCTGGAGTGCAGTGGCGTGATGTCAGCTCACTGCAACCTCTGCCTCTGGAGTTCAAGCGATTCTTGTGCCTCAGCTTCCCTGAGTAGTTAGGATTACAGGCACCCACCACCACGCCTGGCTAATTTTTGTATTTTGAGTAGAGATGGGGTTTCCATGTTGGCCAGGCTGGTTTCGAACTCCTGACCTCAGGTGATCTGCCCCGCTCGGCCTCCCAATGTTCTGGAATTACAGGACCGGTTTCTTTCACAAGTTCTAATTTTCTTAAATATGGGTTTGTCATGATTCTGTCCTGAATTTTATACATCCCCCCTTCACAATCTTATCCACACACTTATGTTTCAATTACCATTTTCTCTTCAGCCTTACTATCTCTCCAATGTCCAATAAGACACCATCGGATCTCCCAAAGGTATTTTGTCATCAATAAAGCCAATCTGAACTCATTAATTCAGATTTATTCTTTCTCATTTTCTTTTATCTTTGTGAATAGTATCATTAGCCACACAGTTGCCCAAGCTGGAAATCTGGAGGTTATTCTCAATTACACTTTTTCTTTATCACTGACTATCAAATCTAATTGACCACACAGTCACATCAGTTTTACATTCTAAATATTTCATTCTAAATATTACATTCTAAATACATCAGACCATCATTATCAGCAATCTCAAACCATACAGGGGTGAAACTTACTTATGCACAGTCCTCCAATCCATTACCAGAGAGATCTTTCTAAAAGCCAAGTCTGATGGCATTGTTTCCTTACTTAACATCTTTGGATGCCTCAGTTAGCCTAAAAGCCCCTCACTTCCAGTCCCTCCTTCCCTTACTTCTCCCTGTGCATCTTCATTGCTAAATTACCTGCTGTTACCCATATTTGTCATACATTTCTCAACTCTGTGTCTCTTCACAGGCTGTGCTTGAAGCACTGTTTCTCACTTTCTGCTTTTCCAGGGGCTATCTTCTGTATTTAAAGCACATTCTCTCCCCTTCTCCACTCAGCAACTCCCACCCATCTTTATTTATTTATTTATTTATTTTTGAGACAGAGTCTAGCTCTGTTGCCCAGGCTGGAGTGCAGTGGCACCATGTTGGCTCACTGCAACTTCTACTTCTGGGGCTCAAGCGGTTCTCCTGCCTTAGCCTCCCAAGTAGCTGGGACTACAGGTGCACACCACCACGCTGGCTAATTTTTGAATTTTTAGTAAAGATGGAGTTTCACCATGTTAGCCAGGCTGGTCTCGATCTCCTGACCTCATGGGATCCACCCACCTCAGCCTCCCAAAGTGTTGGGATTACAGGTGTGAGCCACTGTGCCCAGCCTCACCCATCTTTTAACATTCATTTTAGTCATCTCTTCTTCTATGCATTTTTCCCTAAATTTCTTTTTCAAGAAAAGCTAAGTGCTTTTTTGGTTTACTGCTATAGTATCGTAGACTACATTGGAACTGGTATTTACAAATATGGCTACCTAATATGTCTACCTCTCTAGGCATTTAGGACAATAACTGTATCTTTCCCATCATTGCATTTCTAGTATCTAACACAGTGCTTGACCTGTAACAGGCTGTCAACCAATGTCAGAGTAAAGAGAGAAGAGAAATATGACATACTTTGGAAACGTTTTGTGTCAGTTCAACCTCCACTTAAAAAGCTTGAAGAATATAAATTGGACATAAATGGAAAAAAGTAATAGAATATTTGTAGCACTTATCTTTATTATAGGAATTCTTTTGTTAAATCCTGGCTCTTCCTTATAAACCCTCAGTCTACCTCTTATAAGGTAAGATAGTCAGTTGATCAGCTGTGTGTCTTGGTTGGGCCTTTTCACTTTCATAGGTACTGTTAAACCTGTCCTCCACCATTTAATTGATGATCAAAGCATATAGATATGTCTTTAGTGAGCAACATCAAATCTCTACCATCCAAGTTATTACATTAGATTATAAGAATATCAATGAGTGTTCTGCTAGTTCCTAACAGTGGATATGCATTGTGTTAATTTTTTCTTGGTGTTTTAATTTTACCATTCCTACCAAACAAGAACACACATATCCTACGAACTTTGACTATATGTATCATTTGACATTCAGTGACTAACTTTTACCAAATATATTTAGGGAAGTTACATGAAATAGTCCCATGAGAGGATACTATTTTGTTTATTGTAGGGAATGTTTGTAAAGGACATAACCTTCTGTAGTCCCTCTTATGTTGACCTATAGAGAAATTGCTCTCAGTTTTCATTGCCAGAAAATGCTGTGTCTTCTCGGCAACTGATCTATTTTAAACTCATGCACTCTGTGAATCCTATAGCCAATTGTGTTTCTCTTCTTTTTCAGAAAGTTTAAACACATACTTGTGGCCTCGCTTTAATAAGCACATAGTAGTTTATGACTTGGATTTTTTACATACTAACAGTTCCCTTGGCTTTATTTTATTTTTCTACCCTCATTTCCCTTCACTCAGGTTTGTTCATCTATTTAGTTTCTTCCCATTTGTGTATTTTTGTAAGCTGCCTCAAATCCTTTTATAGTAACAACACAGAGCTAAACTAAATTAAATGAAAATACAATTATCCCATTAGGTGTCCATGATTCTATTAGAGGAAAAATAATCCACTACGCACTTCAAGGTGAGTACAGGTTTTATCAGTAGCCAGCAATTACAAAGTTCATGAGGTAGAAAATTGTTAATTTTGAAAGCCAAGGACTCAGACTCTTCTCAGTTAATGGTTATTCCCAGAGTTCTGATATTTTACCTCCCAGAAGAATGAGGATCTGATAAAACATGTAAATAATATTCACATTCTTAACAGCTTCTCTCACAAGTCATGCTGTCCCAGCCAGATTACCAAGATGTCACTGAACTCATCCACTGGGATCCCCAACACTCTGTGAGGGCAGTGTGGATTCTAACATTGGACAGCTTTTTGCCGTCTGGTGGAAATTCACCATTACCCAGCAAGATGCACCATAGTGACTTGCTCTTTTTTTTTTTTTTTTTAGACGTAGTCTCACTCTGTTGCCTGGGATGGAGTACAGTGGCACGATCTTGGCTCACTGCAACCTCCACCTCCTGAGTTCAAGTGATTCTCCTGCCTCAGGCTCCTGAGTAGCTGGGATTACAGGCACCTGCCACTGCACCCAGCTAATTTTTTGTATTTTTAGTACAGACGGGGTTTCACCATATTGGCCAGGCTAGTCTCAAACTCCCCACCTCGTGATTCACCTGCCTCGGCCTCCCAAAGTGCTGGAATTACAGGCGTGAGCCACCGTGCCTGGCCTGACTTGTTCTTCAGTTATTCAAACTGCTCTGATTTTTTTGAGAATACATAATCATAAAGCAAACGCTTAAAAAGTTCATTTGGCTTCTTCTAGTGTTTATATTCCTTGATAAGTGATCCTCTACTGTACTCCTACAACTAATTAGATGACACATTATACATGTAGTATCTTAGGTGCTTTACGTATTATTACACATTGTTTCATTTAATCATCAAAATGACTTAATGAAATAATCTTATTTTCTTCATTACAGATTAAGAAATTGAGGTTCAAAGGGGAAAATAAATTTATCCAAAGTCAGATAATGACTTTGGGTATTAAATCTCAGAGCATGTAACTCCAGAGATTATCTGTTTTCTGAAACAGCATACTATTTCTCTGGACTCATGCAGGTTCCTGTCTTTTTTTTTTTTTTTGTCATAATCCTGGATAATGGGAATATTTTATGTGTTTGTGTGTGTGTATGTACATGTGGGTATGTATTTTGTGCACTAAATTAGGGTCAGGGTCATAGTAGGTAGTAGATAATTCATTCACTCAAAAGGGTTTAACTTAAGAATGTAGTGAAGAGATTACCTACAGATATATGGGTGGGGCTAAGGATCCCAACAGAATGGTGAGGCATCCAGAGACTAGCCATAGTAGGGCACCATTGCCACTCTTAGGTCTGAAGGTGCCAAGGGAGGGAATTTTGTCACAAGAGCCTGGTGAGATGTTAGCCACCTACTTAGGTAAGTTACCTGTTCTTTATTATCTTGCTTACACATTGTCTCATACCAGTCTGTGGCCTATTAGAAACTGGAACACACAGCAGGAGGTGAACACAGGCAAGTGAGCATTAACACTTGAGCTCACCTTCTGTCAGATAAGCCACAGCATTAGGCTCTCATAGGAAGGTGAACCCTGTCATGAACTGCACATACGAGGGATCTAGGTTGTGCGCTCCTTATGAGAATCTAACGCCTGATGATCTGAGGTGGAAAAGTTTCATCCTAAACCATCAGCAACATCCACCCCCTCACCCCATCCATGGAAAAATTGTCTTTCACAAAACTGGTCCCTGCTGCCAAAAAGGTTGGGGACCACTGTCATACACCGTCTCCATGTAATAATAAAATAATTCTATACAAGTCCAACTTTATGATTTGTAAAACATATAACATCTAGTTCATGACATGCAGATCAGGTTATACAGTTGCTTGGTGTGCCAGGCTTAGGCATTTAATCTCTACTCACCTGATATGGTTTGGCTCTGTCCCCACACAAATCTCATCTTAAATTGTAAACTGCCACAATTCCTACATCTTGTGAAAGGAACCTGGTGGGAGATGATTGAATTATGGGTGCAAGTATTTCCTGGGCTACTTTCGTGATAGTGAATGAGTCTCATGAGATCTGATGGTTTTAAAAATGGGAGTTTCCCTGCACAAACTCTCTCTTTGCCTGCTGCCATTCATATAAAATGTGACTTGTTCCTCCTTGCCTTCTACCATGATTGTGAGGCCTCCACAGCCATCTGGAACTGTAAGTCCATTAAACCTCTTTTTCTTTCCAGTCTTGAGTATGTCTTTATCAGCAGCATGAAAATGGACTAATGCAGTAAATTGGTACCAGGAGCGAGGTGCTACTGAAAAGATACCTGAAAATGTGGAAGCAACTTTGGAACTGGGTAACAGGCAGAGGCTGGAAGAGTTTGGAGGGCTCAGAAGAAGACAGAAACATGTGGAATAGTTTGGAACTTCCTAGAGACTTGTTGAATGGCTTTGACCAAAATGCTGATAATGATTTGGACAATGAAATCCACGCTGAGGGGGTTTCAGATGGAGATGAGGAACTTGTTGGGAACTGCAGCAAAGGTGACTCTTGTTATGTTTTAGCAAAGAGACTGATGGCATTTTGCCCCTGCCCTAGAGATCTGTGGAACTTTGAACTTGGGAGAGATGGTTTAGGGTATCTGGCAGAAGAAATTTTTAAGCAGTGACCAGGTGCAGTGGCTTATGCCTGTAATCCTGGCCCTTTGGGAAGCCAAGGCAGGCAGATCACCTGATGTTGGGAGTTTGAGACCAGCCTGGCCAACAGGGTGAAACCCTGTCTCTACTAAAAATACAAAAATTAGGCTGGGCACAGTGGCTCATGCCTGTAATCCCAGCACTTTGGGAGGCCGAGGCAGGTGAATCATGAGGTCAGGAGTTCGAGACCAGCTTGACTAACATGGTGAAACCCCATCTCTGCTAAAAGTACAAAAATTAGCTGGGCGTGCTCGCATGCACCTGTAATTCTGGCTACTCAGGAGGCTGAGGCAGGAGAATCACTTGAACCTGGGAGGCTGAGGTTGCACTGAGTTGGGATCGTGCCACTGCACTCCAGCTTGGGCAACAAGAGTGAAACTCTGTCTCAAAAAAAAAAAAAAAAAGAAAGAAAGAAAAACGAAAAGAAATTTTTAAGCAGCAAAGCATTCAAGAGGTGGCTTGGGTGCTGTTGAAGGCATTCAGTTTTATTAGGGAAGCAGAGCATAAAAGTTCATAAAATTTGCAACCTGACAATGCAGTAGAAAACAAAATCCCATTTTCTGAGAAGAAAGTCAAGCTGGCTGCAGAAATTTGCATAAGTAACAAGGAGCTGAATTTTAATCACCAAGACAATGGGGAAAATGTCTCCAGGGCATGTCAGAGGTCTTCAGAGCAGCCCATCCCATCATAGGCCCAGAGGCCTAGGAGGATAAAATGGTTTCATGGGCTGGGCCCAGGGTCCTATGCTGGGTGCAGGCTAGGGACTTGGTACCCTGCATCCCAGCTGCTCCAGCCATGGCTGAAAGGGACCAACATAGAACTAGGGCCGTGGCTTCAGAGGGTGCAAGCCACAAGCCTTGGCAGCTTCCATGTGGTGTTGAGCCTGCAGGTACACAGAAGTCAATAATTGAGGTTTGGGAACCTCTGCCTAGATTTCAGATGATATATGGAAATGCCTGGATGTCCAGGCAGAAGTTTGCTGCAGGGGCAGGGATCTCATGGAGAACCTCTGCTAGGGCAGTGTAGAAAGGAAATGTGGAGTCAGAGCCCCCACACAGAGTCCCACTATGGTTTAGTGGAACCATGAGAAGAGGGCCACCATTCTCCAGGCTCCAGAATGGTAGATCCACTGACAGCTTGCACTCTGCATCTGGAAAAGCCACAGACAACACCAGCCCATGAAAGCAGCTGGGAGGGAGGCTGTACTCTGCAGAGCCACAGGGGCGGAGCTGCCTAAGGCCATGGGAACCCACCTCTTGCATGAGTGAGGCCTGAATGTGAACATGGAGTCAAAGGAGGTCATTTTGGAGCTCTAAGATTTGACTGCCCCACTGGATTTTGGACTTACATGGGGCCTGTAGCTCCTTTGTTTTGGCCAATTTCTCCCATTTGGAAAGGCTATATTTACCCAATGCCTGTACCCCCATTGTAGCAAGGAAGTAACTAACCTGCTTTTGATTTTACAGGCTTATAGGTGAAAGAGACTTGCCTTGTCTCGGATGAGATGTTGGACTGTGGGCTTTTGAGTTAATGCTGAAAATAGTTGAGCCTCTGGGGGACTGCTGGGAGGGCATGATTGGTTTTGAAATGTGAGGACATGAGATTTGGGAGGGGCCAGGGGCAGAATGATATGGTTTGGTTGTATCTCCACCCAAATCTCATCTTAAATTGTAACTCCCACAATTCCCATGTGTCATGGGAGGAACCCAGTGGGAGGTGATTGAATTATGGGGTCAGGTCTTTGCTGGGCTGTTCTCATGATACTGAATGAGTCTCATGAGATCTGGTGGTTTTAAAAATGGGAGTTTCCCTGCACAAGCTCTCTCTTTGCCTGCTGCCATCCATGTAAGATGTGACTTGCTCCTCCTTGCCTTCACCATGTTTGTGAGGCCCCCCCCAGCTATGTGGAACTCTAAGTCCATTAAACCTCTTTTTCTTCCCAGTCTCCAATATGTCTTTATCAGCAGCATGAAAATGGACTAATACATTGCCCTAGTGGCAAACCAGATGCTAATGGTTTTTAGGGATGCTAATGCTGTCTTCACCAATGAATGTCTTGAAGAAGAAGGGTCCACCAGTCCCTCTGGAGGGTAGCATTAGAGAGTGGCTAAGCATATTCAACATAATATATTCACTCCAATATTTTCACATTTTTAAGCCCTACACTCCTTTCTCAACACTATGCCAGAGAAGTTCTAGCATCTCAGTCATATTGGATATAGGCTACCACTGAGCCAAGGCTTTATTTTAAAACACAGGAAATTGTTGGTCCCATTGCCAAGAGCTGGAGGCAACACATTAAATCCCAAATCTCAGGAATGTGCACCCATATTGATGAATCTGGTCCAATCCAACAGTGTATTTTACTCTCCTTGCTCTAACACCCTTGGAATCTACTTCCATGCAAGATCCCCAGAATTGTCACTATAAATTAGCAAGACCCTACAATTTCTTCAGTGTCTATACCATCTCCTCTTAGAGCAGACCTTCCCTATCTAGACTGTGCTGTACTATACATCTGGAAGCAAGGGGGAGTGGTAGGGTGGATCCCTTCAAAATTTGGTACCCCCTCTTGAAGGAAAATGCTAAATGTGAAGGCTGTGAAATTATTTTATGCAGAGGAATTCTGTTCCCTTAGAGAAGGTGAAAGTTTACTTCAATTGGCAAAGATGATTCAGAGATGTCTGGGGGGATTTACAGTTCTCAGCATGGGCTATTTCTGCCCAAATTTCCCTATACTAAGTTTGAGAGTCCCAGTACTTTCTGAATGAGGCCCTTAGCTTAGCCTAACTTGATCAGATTGCCTATTTAACTGGTTTTGTAACTCTGTAACCTATACAATCATGCCTTGGGCATGAACCTTAACCATATCTTCCTTACAGCTACATTAGACAAGGATTTTCTTTAGGGACATCAAAAAGGCATACTGATTCTCCCCCTAAACCTTGATTTTGGAGGATAAAGCTTTACATTCATCTTTTTTAAAAAAAGTTCTCCAAGGCAGTCAGAAGTAGGTATATCACCCCCTATAGATATGTTATTACTGTCAAAGCAATAACAACAAATGTCCAGCTACTTCATCTTCCAAACCCTGTTCTCCACTTGGACCCTGTCTCATGCTATTACTGCCGATAATTTGAGTTAACATAGTGCCTTTTCATGCCATAGCTTACCAATGGCATATTTTCTCTTGTTAAGAAGATTATCTGGGACTCATGACAATCAGTCCAGAATCTACTTTGAGAATCTGTTTCCTGGGGTCATGCCTAACCAATCACTCTGTCAGTCAGGGTCCAAAGAGAAAACATGGCATTCCTAAAAAGACATAATGGAAGAGAATTTAATGAAAGGACTTTTTACAGAGGTATGGGCACAGTTAAGAAAACAAATGGGCCAGGCGCAGTGGCTCATGCCTGTAATCCCAGCACTTTGGGAGGCCGAGGCCGGCGGATCACCTGAGGTCAGAAGTTCGAGACCAGCCTGGACAACATGGCAAAGCCCTGTCTCTACTACAAATACAAAAATTAGCCAGGCATGGTGATAGGTGCCTGTAATCCCAGTTACTCAGGAGGCGGAAGCAGGGAGAATTGTAGGAGGTGGAGGTTGCAGTCAGCTGAGATTGTGCCATTGCACTCCAGCCTGGGCAACAGAGCAGGACAAGAAAGAAAGAAAGAAAGAGAGAATGAGAGAGAGAGAAAGAGAAAGAAAGAAAGAAAGAAAGAAAGAGAGAGAGAGAGAGAAAGAAAGAAAGAGAAAGAAAGAAAGAAAGAAAGAAAGAAAGAAAGAAAGAAAGAAAGAAAGAAAGAAAAAGAAGAAAGGAGGGAGGGAGGGGGAGGGAAGGGGAGGGAGGGAGGGGAGGGGAGATGGAAGGGAGGGGAGGGAGGGGGATGGAAGGGAGGGAGGGAGGAAAGGAGGAAGGGAGGAAGGAAGGAAAAACAAGTGATGGTGAGGCAATCAGCTTTCTCCAACAATAAGAAGTTGTTACCACTCATAGACCTGAAGGATCAAAAGGAGGGAATCATGTAACCAAGCCTGGGAAGAAGTTGAGCTCTGAAAGAGCTCTGAAAGAAGCGCTGCCTGACAGGGACTGTCAAAACCATAGCAACATAGGGAGGGAGTGGGAGTATTAATACCCTATCCCCATCTCCTTCCAAACCTCTGATCTCCTGATATTGCTATTTCCCATAGGTCAAAATCAAATGATAAGGGAGCAAGGATGATGTGGAGACTATCCATTAAGACAGCTCATCTCTCTTCCATTTCCAGGTGAAAGGAAATGAAGAATATGGATACCTGAAATATTTTGCTAAGGCAAACTTCCCATTATAAATGCTATCTAATTCTTATATATTAAAATAATGTGGATTATCTTTTAAGTACGTTCTCACATTATTAAACCTGTTTTTTAAATCAAAGTCTACTAACATTTTTTGGTTAAAATTCTGCAATGTTGATAGATTAATACAAGTTAAATGATGATACAGGATGGGGAGGTGGGAGAAAGGAAATGTATTCTAAAGCTTTAGGAAAAATATATTTTAAAATGAGATTTGATCAAGATAAAGCTCTAAATTAAATGTTCTGACTACAATTTGACCTTTTTACTTTAGCTTCCTGTAAGGGGAAATGCTCAGGAGAACATTTGCATATAAATAGTTACTTGAAAATAATGTTTTGATAAGCATAAATGAATATAAAACAACTTCAAAGGTTTCACATCACACTTAAAATGATCATGTGTTTAAGGGAGTTAAGAGATACTAGTTGGAAAAAAATAAGGTGCTTTGAATTTGATTCATATTTAGAGAGCAGTTCAAGAATCCCTCTGTAATTCAACAAAGCCACTTGTAACAATAGTAATTGTAACATTTTATTGGAAGTAACTCTTAAAGTATCATCTAAATATAAGCCCATGATGTTTTTCTTTAACCTTGACAGATACACTACTTTGATGAGGTGGAGAAGAAGAATAATTTGGAAAAGGTTAAAGAGAAAATGTGTATATGAAGTAGCCAAAGGTCTCAGGCAGTTGAGGAGAACATAAAATTTTCTTTCACATTTCCACTTTATACTTCCAGTTTGCAAATATAAAGATTACGTTACCCCTGTAAACAAATAATGTCTATAAAAAGATAGGTCAATTAGGAAACTCATGACTTGCATTTTGTTTTATCCTCCAATACTTCAATATTTGTGGCATTACTTAAAAGCTGACATTATCCAACCCAGCCATAAAATAAAAACCCTGAGCATAAAAACATATAATAGAAGCTCTAGCAAACTTATTTTCACTTTTTCCCATATTTTTAAGATAATTAAGCCCTAAAACTTTCAAAATTGTTTAAAATCTTTACATACTCCAATTGCCTTAACACTTTTAAAATTCTATCCAGGCTAGTCCTTTATGATTTTAGTTTACTTACAAACATTTTAATATATTATCTATCCAGACATATTTTTACAAATTTTGGTGAAAATATTTGTTGAGACAGGATAGCAAAAGCAAAACTAAAGTTTAAAAGTTTTTAAATTGACGTGTACTTTCATAGAGTAAATGCACATATCCCAAGCGCACAGTTTGATGAGATTTGACAAATATGTACACATATATAGCCGATACCACCATTAAGATATAGCATTCCATTACTCCAGAAAGCTTTTTTATGCTTCGACCCAGTTAACTGTCAACTGCCCACCCCGACCCCCACCACAAGAGGCAGTAGCTGATCTGATTTCTATCACCATAAATTAGTGTTACGGGATCCCTGGGGTGTCCATTTTCTTTCTGGCGACCTCTGTGGCCAGTGGCATGTTTGCACAAGTTCTTGTCCTGTGTCCAGGAAGAATGAGGTAAGCAGACAAGTGAAGGGTGAAGGAGACAAAGAGGAGCTTTGTTTAGTGTTAGAACAGCTCAGTGGAGAACTGCAGCAGGTAGCTCCTCTCTGAAGGCAAGTCTCCCCCTCTGGTTGAGTGTTCAGCTCTCAGCAGAGAGGAGGCCCTGGAGAGGGTAGCTCCTCTTCGCCCATTGGTTGTCCAGTCCTCTGCTGCTTCCAGCAGGGAGGAGGCCCTGGAGAGGGTGGCTCCTCTCCGTCCACTGGTCATTTGGACGTCTCTACAAACCTCTGAAGCTCTCAGCAGAGAGGATAACTCCTCTCTGCAGCTGATTGTCCCTTTGTCTCATCTTCTTCCCTCTCTGGCTGAACCCAGGGCTTTTATGGACCTCAGAGGAGAGGAAGTGTGTGCCCACTGGTCCTTGGGAGGCCATGGGTATCCAGAGGAGGCACCGCAAGTTCCCACTCTGGTCTGTGGGACTGGCAGGCTGGCCCCCAGCCTTCAGGCCCTCCCTAGCCTGAAGGAGAGGCCTTTACCAGGAACCCACCCCCACCTTCCACCCAGGAATCTGTGTGCCTCACACTGCCATTCATGGTCCTGGGGCTCAGCCCCAACCCTGCTTAGAGACTGGAGCAGGCACTGGGAGAGGAAAGAGGCCAGGCTGGGAGAGGAGAAAGGCTAAGCAGTGGAGCAGACACCCCCAGCCTGCAGGCACAGAGGGTATGGGGCTTCCTGGCCCCTGAGGGTGCAAGCTGCAGAGATGCCCAGGTTCTGTGCCTGTGCCTGGGAGGGCAGCGGCAGCTGCAGCTGCACCTGTGGAGCTCTGCCCCACCAACTCGGAAGGGGCAGGGCTCCCACTTGTCCCCATCTTCTGCCTGCTCCATGGAGCAGGAGGCCTGGATCTGCAGCTGGATTTGAGCAGCTGCAGTAGCACCAGGATAGCTCCTGCTCCAACTCAGAAGGGGCGGGGCTCCCACTGGCTCCTCGGAGCGTGCAGTCCCAGCTGTGCCTCCCTGCTGCAGCCAGCATTATGGTGGCTGAGTTTTGCCTGTTTTAGAACTTCATATTAGTAGAATCATACTGTATACTCCTTTGTGTCTGTGCTTTTTTTCATTCATAATGTTTCATGCGTCAGTAGCTCATCCCTTTTCATTGTCAATTTGTTATATGACTATTCCACTATGTCTCTGTCCACTTTTCTGTTGCGTAATATTTCAGTTGCTTCCAGTTTTTTGTTATTATGATGAAACTATGACTAAAAATATATTTTGGTCCTATACATAGGTATGATGGAGCTAACTCTCACTGGCTCAGTAGAGCTGATAATGGGTATCTCTTCCTAACTCTGTGTTCAGTGACATTATGTTGGTAGCTTAACATTGGCCACAGTGGGAGTATTTATGCCACAGAAATTGGCAATACTACAAATCAGGCTTTAAAAATTTTTCACTTTTATTAATTAATTTTAAAGTGGTGGTTAAACATTTATCAGAATACCACTGGATATATGTTTTCTTTCTTTTGAGTAGACACCTAGGAGTGGAATTGCTAAGTCCTATGTTCAACTTTATAAAGTTGATAGTTTTTCAAACTAGTATCATTTTACACTCTATCCAACAATGTGTGAGAGTTATAATCATTCTACATCATCGCCAGCACTTGATGTTGTTATTCATGAAAGATATCTGAAAATATCTTTATTTGCCTTTACTTTTAAAGAAAACTTTTGCTGGATTTAGAATTCTAATTTAATAATTTATTTTTTAGCATTTTAAAACTGCCATTCCAACTGTAGTGGTATCTCATTGTGGTTTTAATTTGCATTTATCAATAACTTTTGTGCTGAACATTTTTTCTGTGGGTATCGACCAGTGTATATCTTCTTTTGTCAACTTTCTGTTAAAGTTCTTTGCCCATTAATTTTATTGTGCTGTTTGTATTAGTGAGTCATAGAACTTCTATATATATATTCTGGATAGAAGTCTTTATCAGATATGTCTTGTGAATATTTTCTCATCTTTTCACATGTTGACAGTATCTTTTGATGATAGCAAATCTTGAAATAAGTAGTATAATCAATTTTGTTCTATTACAAGATTGTTTAAACTCTTCTAGATTATTCATATTTCCATATATAGTTTAGAATCAACTAGAAGTTGACTGGGATTGCATTGGGCCTATAGATTAATTTGAGGAGATTTGACACCAGCATTGTGCATCTGCTTGACATCTGTATCTTTCAGTCTATGCACATGGGATTCATAGATTGAATCTGTTTTTTAAGATCTCTGTTTTTAAAGACCTTCTTTCATTTCTCTCAGAAGTGTTTCATAGTTTTTAGCCAAGAAGTTATCATATCTTTTGTTACATTTATCCCTAAACATTTATGTGCCTTAATGTCTATCTAATGTCTATCTAGAGATGTTCATTCTTTGAGTTCTAATATTTGTCATTTGTATTATTTTCTCTCTTTTTTCTTCAGTCTAGTATAAGGCTTATCAAATTCATTAATGTTTCCAAAAAGCCAACTTTTGTTTTCATGGATTTTTCTGTATTGTGGGTCCCTTTTTAAAAAAAAAATTGATTGCTGCTCATAAATGAACAAATATTCTTTCAACTTAATTTCAGTTTAGTTTATGCCTGTTTTTTATCTTCTCTAAGTGAAAACATAAAACATGTATTTTAAATATTTTCTTATGTTTTAACATAAGCATTTAAAGCTGTATGTTTTACGTTAAGCACTGTTTTTAGCTATCTCTCAAATTATTTTCTAATCTTTTCTGGATTCTCTTACTTAAAATTATAGTATTTAGAAGTGGTTGCTTAAGTCCTAAACATGTAAGAACTTCTTTCTGATATGCTTTTCATTTACTTTTAATTTAATTCCATGTTAGTCAGATAACATGATTTTTAATATCTCTGTTTTGAAAGATCTTTCCTTTCTCCCAGCAATGTTTCATAGTTTTTAGCCAAGAAGGTATCATATCTTTTGTTAAATTTATGCCTAAACATTTATGGGAAATACTATACAGACATAGTATCCCACTTCAGAGCCAGGTGCGGTGGCTCACGCCTGTAATCTCAGCACTTTGGGAGGCCGAGGCGGGCGGATCACCTGAGGTCAGGAGTTCGAGAGCAGCCTGGCCAACATGGTGAAATCCCATCTCTACTAAAAATACAAAAATTAGCCAGGTGTGGTGGTTGGCACCTGTAATCATGGCTACTCAGGAGGCTGGGGCCTGAGACTTGCTTGAACTCGGGAGGTGGGGGTTGCAGTGAGCCAAGATCATGCCACTGCACTCCAGCTAAGGCAACAGAGCAAGATTCCATTTCAAAAATAAATAAATAAATAAATAAAACATACTCTGGAATACTCCAATTCTTTAAAATTTATTAAACCTTATTTTATGACCCAGTGCATGGCTCAGGTGTTGGATGTAGTGTTCTGTTAATGTCAGTTAGACTAAGTTGGTTGATAGTGTGGTCCAAATCAACATGCTTACTATTGTTTGTCTTTTATGCTTCCGTTACTGAGGGAGGAGTGCTACACTATCCAACCGCAATTGTAGGTTTGTCTATTTTTCTATTACCTTTGCCAGTTGTTGCTTCATTTATTTTAAAGTTCTATCATAAAGTACATACACTTTTAGCATGGTTATGTCTTCTTAATGTATTAACTGTTTTATCAAAATAAAATGTCTCTTTAGTGCTGGTAATATGCCTTGTTCTGAAGTGGGATACTATGTCTGATATTAATATAGCCTTTTCCAGCTCTTTATGATTAATGTTTACATGGTACATCTTTTTTTTTTTCCACTCTTTTACTTTTAACTTACGTATGTCTTTATGTTTGAGGAGAATTCCTTGAAACAGCATCTAATTAATTAGGTCTTGCCTCTATGCCTTTTGATTGATTGTTTAGTACCTGTGCACTTAACGTAATTCCTGATATGGTTAGGTTTAAGTCTACCACTTTACTATTTGTTTTCTAATTGGCCCATTTATCCCTTTTCTTTTTCCATCTTTTCCTTCCTTCATTTTAATTAAGCACTTCTTAGTATTACACTTCATCTCCTTTTTTCACTTATTATTTCATTGTTTCATTTATTTAGTTGTTTCCATAGGGAATACAATATACATTATTAACCTATCATAGTGTAACTTAAATTGATAGTATACCACTTTATATATAATGTAAAAACCATATATAAATATAATTCCACTTACCCTCCCCTCTTCTTTGTACCATTTGTCATATATTTTACTTCTATACATTATGAATCCCACAACACATTGTTATTACTTATGCTTCAAGCAGTCAGTTTTTTTAAAGAAATGAAGGAAATAGAAAATTGTGTAGTGCTCTTTCATTCATTCATGTAGATTTGAGTTTCTGCCAGGTACAATTTCCCCTTAACTGGAATGAGCTTATTTAACATTTCTTCTGGTGCAGGTCATCACTTTTGTTATCTGAAAATATCTTTATTTGCCTTACTTTTGAAGAAAACTTTTGCTGGATTTAGACTTCTAATTTAATAGTTTATTTTTTAGCATTTTAAAACTGCCATTCCATTGTTTTCTGGGTTGTATTGTTTCTGATGAGAAATTAATGGTTATTCTATTGTTACTTTCTTATATGTAATATGTTTTTTCTTCTAGATGTTTTGGAATGTTTATTTTTAATTTAATTTAAAGCAATTGTACTATGATATGCCTAGATGTGGTTTTCTTTGTGTTTATGCAGTTTTGTGGTTCATTCCTCAATTATGGCTTGATTCAGAAGTTGGGATTTTCAAAACCAAGTTTCTAAATGTTCACTTCTTGCTGAGAAAATAAATTAATGTCTTCAGGGGCATTAGTTATTTGGTGCTGAACAATATACTCTGTGGATTTGTGTTTTTCATTAAATTTGGGGAATTTTTGAACTGTTATTTCTTTTAACATGTTTTTTTCTTGTCGAAATCTCTTTTTCTTTCTAGGACTTCTATTCCACATATGTTAGAGGACTTTATAATAATCCACAGGTCACTGAAGCTATGTATATGTATATTTAGTCAGTCTTTTTTCTTTTTGCATTCTGTTCTTTAATTTGGATAGTTTCTATTTACCTGTCTTCAAGATCTTTTCTTTTACAGTATTCAAACTGCTGTTACAGTTAGCAAATTTTTAACTTTCAGATAATACATATTTTTAATTCTGTGATTTTCATTTGTTTCTGTCTCTTTGGTTTCTATTTATTTGCTGAGATTCCACATCTGTTCATCTGAAGTCTTTGTTTACTAATTCCACAATGAATGTCATCTCTAGGTTTGTTTCTATTGCCATTTCTTCCTCATATTTTTTAAAAATTCTCCATACGGCTAGTAATTTTTAATTTTTAAGCCTGACATGGGATGCTATATTGTTGAGCTTCTGAATTTATTTGTCTTCCTATGAAGAATATTGGATCTTATTCTGGCAGAGGATTAAGTTACTGGCAGCTCAGCTTGATTCTGCTGAGGGGCTTGGTTTTCAGCTTTGTTAGAGTAGGCCTAGAGTACACTTATGCCAGGGCTAGAGTAGTCCCTACTCCTAAATCATGATCTTTCTGGGGCCTCAATTTTGGGTTGTTGGCATTCCCCTGTCTCTCAGCACTATGTATTCTCTAGTATTTCCATTTAAGCCACAAAAAGCAGCCCAAAGTATCTGCTTTTTCCTAGGCCTCTTTGAATTGTACCATATGCATGCACAGGCATTCAGTCAAAGACTTAACAGAGGATATTGATGCAGATTCCTGGGGACTCTTGTCTGCTAAGCTCCTTTATTTCTGGTAACCTGAGATGCAAATTTCAGCTCCTTCAGTAGTCCTAAATTTCAATCTCCCTTTTATATGGCCAGCAAGACTGTTGCTGTCTGCTTAAACTCCACTTTTTGGGGTCACAGTTTGGAAATTACTCTCAGATAGTAAACTATAGTAAGTAAGGCATCCACCTATGCTTTATGTCTCTCTCAAGGATTATAGCCCTTGGCTGTCTGTTGACCAAAGCCTGGAAAAACTTGATTAATATATCTTATACAGTCTCACATATGTAAAAGTGGGAGAATAAGTCTAATATCTATTCCTTCCATCATGTCCAGGGCCAGAAGTTGGATTTTCAAAAATGTTCCCCACCAGCAATCTCTTCCAATTCCAGTTCCTTTCATAGACTGGTATTAGTGGAATGTTAGTTCAGCTTATTTGACAAGGACATGAAAAATGTTGGTCCACAAGACAGAAGCTTATTTCTGTTCCATGTAAATTCCTACTTGAATGGGAAGTTCCTTCTGTAAAGTTGCCAGGGGTCTGAAGTCCTTCTCTCTTGTGGATCTACTACTCCTCGAATCATGCTTATCTGAGAGGGCTCACTACTTTGCTCTTACTCTAATTTGTTGGAAGGGAGAAAAGCAGAAGGAAAGAGTACACCCTTTTCCTTGAAAAACATGAGCCATAAGCAGCACATTACTCAAACCCCAGAGCTTAGTCTACAATGGGGGCTGGGAAATGGACTTTTCATTCTGTACAACCATGGTCCCAGCTAACACTCAGGAGTTCTCTTATTAAAAAAGAAAGAAGAGATATTAAATACAAGTAGTATCACTGCCATGACACTACTTTCATTAGTGGATATGTATCTTAGAGACTCAGTAAAATACCATATTCTGTTCTTTTATTTAAATTAGATGTCAAGTTTCTATCTAGTTGAACTGGTGGAAAGTTCAACTTCACTCATTCTTAGCAGCCACTTCCCCGGCTGTGATTGTGCTGAGTGTCTAGGGGAGTATCAAGTTTTGGGAAGTCCCTCAAGTCATCGGTCATGAGGCTACACTGATTTCTGCTAAGATTGTAGCCCCAGCCTGTAGAGCTGCAGAGATCCTTCAATTTGATGCTCTGCTGCTCCTCGCCTCTCTTGGCATACAATATCTTCAATGAGCTACAGCCACAAGCCTAGGATCCTGCATGTCACATGCAGCATATGTCCATTTATCTGTACTGCTCTCAAACCATCAGCCTCAATCTAGTTCTCAATCCAGAAGAAAACTTTCTTTTTAGCCTGGGAAATCTCTCTCTCCTTCTCTCTCTCTCTTTTTCTCTTTGTATGTCTTGTTGTCCAAGAACCACCTCCTCAAACTATTCTTTCAGTGAATTTAGGGTTTTAAAAACAAAAGCCAGGAAGTCATGTCTCAAACTCTCCTCAAGGCAAGGAACATGTGAACCTCTTACCTATATGAATAGGGGAAGGGAAGAGGGAAAATAATGGGTAAAAACATACATTATTAACTAAAAGAAAAATACCACCAGAGTAGAGTGATTTCCTAAAATCAGCTCAGATGATGTTCTTTCTCTTTTTTTCTTTTTCTTCCTTTTCTTTTCTTTCTTTCTTTACTTTTTATTTTTTATTTTTTATTTGAAATGTAGTCTTGCTCTGCCACCCAGGCTGGGGTGCAGTTGTGCAATCTTGGCTCACTGCAACCTCCACCTCCTGGATTCAAGCGATTCTCCTACTTCAGCCTCCCAAGTAGCTGGGACTACAGGCACACACCACCACAACCTGCTAATTTTTGTATTTTTAGTAGAGATGGGGTTTCACCATGTTGGCCAGGCTGGTCTTGAACTCCTGACCTCAAATGATCCAACCACCTCATCCTCCCAAAGTGTTGGGATTACAGGCATGAACCACTGCCCCTGGCCTCAAATCATACCCTTTCATAGGTTATAGTTCTCCATTTTCTCCCCACCCCATCTCTTCATCACCTTGACATCCTAGTGAACAGCCAGATCCGCCTTCACTTAACAGCATAACTTGTCAGCAGGGAAAGTATGCCTTTTACAATTTGGATTCAATGAATGCATTTTTAGCTTCATCTTGTGCCAAACTGAAACTTTTCTATTTTGCTTTGTGACATTTTTTGCCTTTTATACTTCCAATTTCTTCTGCTTGATATCTCCTACATGGCCTGCTTTCCAATATTTCATCATGAAAATTTCTGTTCATACTTCAAGTCTGGCTAGAACACTGTTTCTGCTGGGAAGTTTCCCCTAGTACTTCCAGGCATCTTGGAGTATTTAGGTACCTGAGCCCTTTACAGTGCGCTCATGCACAGTTGAAGGCTCCCAGTAAATGAGACTCCTGTTCCAGACCCCCACTGCCTCTTAGTCTAAACAACACCTAGAATACTCATTGTTAAATGCCTGTTTCATGCACTGGATTGTGATCCTTTCAAGGGCAACATGATATCTTATCACAGATGTGTTCTTGCCTGACAGTATACGTGGCACATGAAGGTGCTGAAAGACACTGTATTAGTTTCCTAGGGCTGCTGTAACAAATTACCACAAACTGGTAACAACACAAATTGATTCTCTCCTAGTTCGGGAGGCTAGAAGTAGGAAGTCAAGGCTCTCAAGGGTCTCCCACTCTCTGTCTAGGGGAGAATACTTGCTTGCCTCTGCCAGCTTCTCACAGCACCTGCTGTTCCTTGGTTTGTGACTGCACACCTCCAGTCACTGCCTGCATCTTCACACAGGCTTCTCTTCCCTCTCTCCCTCTCTCTCTCTCTCTCTCTGTCTCTCTCTGTCTCTCTGTCTTCTCTTCTGCCTTTTATAAAGACACTTGTTGTTGGATTTAGGGCCCAGATGTAATCCAGGATGATGTTATCTCAAGACTCTTAACTATGTCTGCTGCAAAGACCCTTTTTCCAAAGAAGGCCACATTCACAGGTTCCAGTACACATATCTTTAGGCAGCCCACTAAAAATGCTTTTTAAATGAATGAGTAAATTAAAAAGTGAACTGTATATATACATGTATTTACATGCACAAACGATGAAGACAAGAGATATTACTTTTTTACATCTTTGTTACCTTCTATTTGTAAACTCACTTTGTAGATAATATATCATGCTTGTTGCTCTGTGCATGATGAGAGTTCTGTTACGTTAAGTAATCCCACAATTCAAAAATGAGTTGTTAAAGCAAAAGACACAATTTGGAAATCTATACAATCATTCTAACGATATTTTCTGACACAACTTTGTCTTTTTTCAAAAAAAGCATGTAAGACATAAATTGAGAGGTTACTATATGAATAAAAGAAGGGTTTTCAAATAGGCATTTCTACATATAGTCACCTTACTCTTGGTCCCTCAAAAAAAAGTCTACTTTTAAAAACAGGGCTGGTAAGACTGACCAGTGTTTCTTTTTGTGGAGAGTTATATTTGTATATTTTCACAAACAGAACAGGTTGGGCAGTTACAAACATAGAAAAATATAATGAAAAGATCCAGATTCATTTTGTTTGGTTTTAATATAGTCTTTTTCTCTTTCCACTTTCAATATGACTGAGAGATTTAATTTGAGTAATACCACAGGAATGTAGTTTCAAGAAGGAAAAATGTTCAAATAACCATCTCCCTCTTCCTCACTTAAAAAAAGAATAATTTGCTATAATATATGTTGAAAGGTTTTTGAGATATTTCCTTTTTGCTGGCATTTGTGTCCTTTCTTATGTAAGCAAATAAATAGAAAACATTGAAACTTAAATATATTTCTCAAAAGAGGGTTTTATGCAAAATACAATTGTTCTTTTTTTATTTCAAAACAATAGCACCAGTTAATATTATTATAAAAATAATAAATTTAATATGTGTATATCTTTTTTGCCCACTTCTATATTTTGTTTCTCAATGTGATTTCTTCTGAGATACATATTGGATTTTTCTGAGAAACTCATGAGTCTTTAAAAATAGCAGATTGGAAACATGGCGCATTGGATCCCAAGCCTTTACTTTGGGAGCACATGGGCAGCTGGGGCACCAGGACACTATTCTCAGTACTTAAGAAGGCCACAGCTTGGGGAAAGGGGGTATACAGAATTGTCACAGGCATGATCCTTCTGTTCAGTTTTCAGCAGAATTGACAGGCTCAAAATTACCTTTTCTCCTTCCCTGCAGCCTCTAAAAGCTTTGCATAGTCCCTTCACAATAATCCCCTTTTATATCAATCTCTCTCCTTTTTTCTTCAAGTCTTCCAGGTTGTTCTAGGACAGCCAAGATTCACAAGCAGTATATTGTCGCTTCTTTCCCTAGCACTAGAGGCAGACTTCGCTAATCAATCACAATATTCTTCCTTGTTAGGCCTAGATTGGGTCTCAAACACAGGCTTCCGGGGGCCATTTCCTTGCTCAAATTGTACAAGAGACACAGATTTTTGACATTTTTGCCCTAGTTCATGAGATGGTGTCCTTATCATGCGTAGCTCTTGCTAAACTCTTTCCCCAGGGAGGCAGTATCTTGCTTCCTGTAATCTCCTGCTGCTGAGAAGGCCCCTGCTTGGAATCACAGTTCCACCACCTGCCTAAAGCAGTGCCTGCTGCCTGGGCTCCCCCATACCCTGGCCTGCTTGCTGGATCAGAGTCCCTGGTAGAAAGCCCCTCCTTGGTCAGATCTGAGACTCCTACCCCTTTTGACTACTGTCTTGGATTCCATGGTGGGGTAAGTCTCTTCATCTAGGGGCCTTTTCCCTGCGCCTGGCCTCCCTGTTCTGGCTTCCACTGTATTTCTAGTGACTGGGATTCCTGGGATCTAGACACATTTTGTTCCAAAGGACCCCTGCTACAATGCTCAAAAATCAGTCCCAGTTGTTTCATTTACAATACACATTTTTGTTAGGATTAAATGCTGTAATTCTTATGAGACAATTAACATGGTTCCTATCACATAATAAGCACTCAATTAATATTAGCTACTATAAGTTCTGTTATAATTTTCATCGTCATCATCATCATCATGATCATTTCTATCAGGATCTCCATCTTAATTTGAGAAAGGCTTTTTCTGCAATAATCAGGAACAGGACAAGTCCCAGAGACCATCTGGCTGCTAATGGACTGGAGACAACATACCTAACAAGTGTTCAAATTGGAGCCCATAGCAAACATTAATGATGGTCATCTTTTACTGAGAGCTCTGTGTCAAGAACTTCCCACATAGTATCTTAATTAACCCCCATAACAACCAAATTGTGTGGGAGTTATAACTCCCATTTTATTGATGAGAAAACGCAGGATTAGTGAATCCCATGCCTAACAAAAACGATAGTGAAACTGATATCAGATCCAGCCCTTTTTAAACACAAAACTCCATTCTTTTTCTCTTGAACATGTTACTTCTCTACAAACAGCCTGAATCCTGAAAGCAGAGCTTACTTTCTGGGCTTCCAGCTAATCAAGTCTGGTCTTATGGCCTGCGTGTTTCCTGCCTAGCCATATCATTAGGTAATTCCCGAAACTTTCCTCTTGTATCCTTACCTTTTGTTTTCTTTCTTCTCCTCTTCTAATCTGGCAGCCACACTCCTACTTCTATTTGTTCTTAGCCACTCTGGTTCCAATTTGCACCATCAGCCCTAAAGATCCAAACCAAGCTTAAATCCTCCATTTAGTCTGCTTAGACTATTATAGCCCACTTTCAAGTGATTTAACCCTCTCCTTCAAATTCCTTTTACTCTCTTGTTATCTGCATTTAGTGCCACACAATTATTATTCTTAGTTATTGCCTAATTATTTCAAATGTGCATTCATTCAACTACTACATGTTTAAATACATATTATAAATCAGAAACTGAGTTAAGCAACATATATGGAGATATATAGACAAGTATGCTATTACAAAACCCTTAAGGTAATATTAGTTGAGCAAATAAGAAATATAGACAAATAGTTATAGTAGTGTTTTGAGTTTAAAAAGTACCATGAGAAATAAAGACAGCTAAAAGAATTCAGACAAGGGAAGGCTTACTTCTACCACGAAGGGAATGAGGAAGAAATAATGATTCATTTAACTGAGGTAGAAGATTCTGA